>NC_000004.12:129527441-129830471 GCF_000001405.40 Homo sapiens
CAAAATGCAGAGGAAGGAGGATGGAGGTGGAAGAGGGAAGACTTCAACAGGGAAGACTGACTCGCATGGGGACAAGTCTGGGGTTATGAAGGACTTAGGAACCTTTTGCAATAGTTCAGGTAAGAGGTGAAGAGGTTGGCAGATATTTACACCAACTTATTTCACAGACAAATAGGAACCCATCCGATAAGAACTTCCTATGCAAGACTATTGTGTCTACTTGCTCCCTAGGCCCTATATTCTTCATCTTGTGAAGGGCCTTGTGGTACTGAGAATTCTGAATCTTTACTGTCTATCTTAGGTTCCTGTCAATCAGAATTTACATATGCTCTGTTATCTCTAATCTTAAAAAATAACTAGCCCATCTCCCAATCCACCAGCCAGTGAACTTTCACTGTTCCCACAAAACTCTTAGAATTGACACCTTCAAGGAATTATTGGCACTTGCTATTCACTCACATCTCAACTGGCAGAAATCTGCCTCTGACCACACAAACTGCTCCCACCAATGGTTATTGAAGACTTTTGTGTCCCCAAATCCAGTGGGCCCATTCATCCTTTACTTTGATGGTTTCATAGCATTGGCCACTGTTGAACATTTTCTACTACTTGAAACATCATCTTCCCACAACACCACATTTTCCTAGTTTTCTTCCTAATTATTCCCATAGTTGTCAGATATTTTACTGCCTTTTCTTCCTCTCTCTTCACAGATATTCGTTTGTTCTCACTCTCTGCACTTTCCACAGCGAATGCTTATCCTTCCTCAAGGCTAGCTATTTTTATTTATATGTGAAGACTGAAGTATTGCCTCTAGCTTAGTTCTCCCTCTTTTTACCCCCTAGCATCTTCGAATCAATATATTAAATATTACCACATCTTTTCTTTTTCTCTTAAAACTTGCTGATTCACCAATATATCCTATCTTTCCTGGTGCTCACACTGGAAAGTTTGGCAAAATCTTTGATTTTTCCTTCTCCTTTTGTGACTATATCCAATAAATCACTTATACTTAAACTTATTTATTGAGGACTTATTATACATTCTCAGTGCTTCTAAGCCTGAGATCTTCAGGATGGTAATAAATCAGTTACGTGAAAGGTGTGGAAAGATTGTTTCAAGCAGAGAAGAAAACATTTGCATAGGTGGGAAAGTTTGTCAGAAGGCCAATATAAAAACAGAAATCTGTTTGCATCGTTCTGTGCTTAAAACCCTAAATGCTTAATGTGGATAATAAAGCTCCTCAGGACTCTGACCTTGACTCTTCTCAGGCCTGTCTCATTTCCTGGCCCTTCACTCTTTTTATTCCTGTCACACTGGATTTCCTTTGGCTCCTGCAATGCTGCAAGTTCTCTCTAACTTCAGACCTTCCACAAGCTCTTTCCTTAGCTGCAGGGAAAGATCTCATTGCACTTTCTCCTCTATCTGGCTAGTTCAGACTTATTCTGCAGGCCTTTGCAAGGAGGCCTTCCTTGGCTGGCAGCTCCATCCTCACTTCTGGGCAAGGGAAAGACCTACACGAACCCCTGTGCTTCCCTTTTATAAATAAATAACTGGCTTTTCTCTTGCTTAGTGTCAATCTTCCATGTTAGACTACAGGCTTGATGAGGACAGAACCCTTGTCTGTATTTCTTTTTAACCTTTTATCTTCAGTGCCTCATACTATTCCTGCCATATTGTAAATACCCAATAAGAATTTGGGTGAAAACTGAATGAATAAATGAATTCCAGGATATTGAAATAGAGGCAGATATCAAGGGTCATGGCCATCTTATCCCCGGCTGATAACCTACCCATATTGATGGTCTGTTTTATGTGGAAAAAATACTGAAATCAATTTCAACAATTTTGGATTTAAGTTTAAGAGTCACCTGTAATCCCAGCACTTTAGGAGGCCAAGGTGGGTGGATCGCTTGAGCTCAGGAGTTCAAGACCAGCCTGGGCAACATAGGGAAACCTTGTCTCTACAAAAAAAATGCAAAAATTAGCTGGGAGTGGTGGTGCATTCCTGTAGTCCCAGCTACTTGGGAGGCTGAGGCAGGTGGATCTCTTAAGCCTGGGAAGCAGAGGTTGCAGTGAGCTGAGATCATGCCACTGCACTCCAGCCTGGGCAACAGAGCAAGACCCTGTTTCAAAAAAAAAAAGAGTCATAATCTTTATCTGTAGTATCTCTCATTAAAAAAAATTAAAACCAAAAACTTCCTTTGATTCCTCTCAACCCCCATAACATTTCTATTGTTGCCCTTGACAGAAAAACTCCTCAAATAGCTGCCTATAGTTTTTGCCACTTCTGCATGTTCCATTAATCCATTTCAATGGGATTTTGTCTCTCATTCAACAGGAAGTACTCTTACCAATGTCTGTAATAACCCACATCTTGCAAACTCAGTGGTCCATACAGCTTCTACTCAGGAGAATTGATGTTGTTCAACATTTCTTTTTGTCCTGGAAACATTTCCTTTGGGCTCTTTCTTAGTTCTCCTCACAACTCACTGCTCTGCATTCTTTTGCTGGATTAACTACAACTTCCCAAACGTCAAGTATTGGGGTGACCTAGGGTTCAGCCTTCAACTCTTCCCTCTCTCTGTTTTCTTATCCAATCATAGGGCTTTACAAAGCATCTATTCCAAGCAGAGTTCCAATTTTATATGTCTAGCCCTGATCTCAATCCTGAATCCCAGACTTTCCTATTGAATTTTCAACTTGACACCTGCATTTAGATGTTAATTAGACATTGCAAATTTAACACCTCAAAAACTGAATTTTTGAATTTCCTCTGAAAATCTGTTCCTCCAGAAGTCTTCTCCATCTCAGTAAATGGAATTTATTCTGATAGTTGCTCAATCTAAACATCTTGAAGTCATTCTTTACTCCTCTCTTGCTCTCACATCCCACATCCCATCCATGCAAATCCTACATGCTCTGATTTTGAAATATGTCTAGAACTCTGCCCACTCCTCATTGCCTTCACCCTAGTAAAGTAATCTAACTGGTTTTCCTGATCTCATCCTTGTCCCACAAAAACCTGCTTCCTCCTTCTGCACAGTAGCAAGTGTAATCTTTTACAAAAGTTTGCCTGGTCCTGGCTTCCCATCTCAATCCATCCTTAACATGGCCTTCAAGGTCCTGTGTAATCTTTTCACAGCCTTTCTTTCTGACTTAATCTCATTCTAATTTTTTCTCTTGGCAAACTCTCCTCCAGCCACTCTGATGTCTTTTCTATTCCTCCAGTACTCTGGGTCAGTTCCCACTCCAAATCTTTTGCATGGTCTGCTTTTTTTTTTTTTTTTTTTTTTGGCGGGGGTGATTTTGGACACTCTCTCCAGCCATTAACATGGCTTACTCTTCCCTTGAAGTCTGTTCAAATGTCACTTTATCTGAGAGTCCTTCCATTAACACCTCATCAAAAACAGAATCTTCCATCACTTGGTGTTTCACCCTCCTTAACCTCATAACACTTGCCATCACTTGACATGTTGTATATTTATTTATTTATTTTGGATAGCAGGCACATAAATGATTTCAATCAGAATTGTAAGTAGAAGTTAGACTTATGATCCAAATTCAGAAGACATGTTCTGTTTCCTTTTACTTGACTCAGACAAGGCAAAAAACTGAAAGCTTTTTCATAGTATGTGTACTGTTCTTCAGATACCATATTGCCAAGGACAGTTAATTACATAATAGAATTACATGGTTTCTTCCTGTTGCTGACAATTTAGACTTTTTTTCATGTCTGTTCCTATAATTTTTCTCTAGATTACCCTGATTATTTGTACTTATTTAAACTGATGGGCTTATTTCTTTTATTCCTCCCGCTTAGGGCTTCATTAAAGTTTACTTTGCATAAAGAAGGAGCAGTGGTACTCTCGGTAACTTAGTTTTCTAAGGCAGTTTGAGAAATTCTAAAAGAGTTTACTCGCTGTTTTAACATCATAACATTTTCAAAACAACATAACATAGCAAAAATAATTTGTAAAGAGTTACACAGTAATTTCCCAACAGCCCTCGACACCATGTACCAGCTGGTGCTCTCAGGGTGAATGGCTGGGTAATGGCTCAGTTCTCAGGGAGAAGGAAATGAATATCTAAGCAAGTTTTTTGTTTTGTTTTGTTTTTAAGTGCAATTAAATTCCCTTTAGGCAGACACTTCGTTTTGTTCAAGGCTGTTTTCCCTGGGCCTAGGATTGTGTCTCACATTTTGTGGGTAATGTTAAATGTTAATATGTGCTGAATTAAATGAGTGAATAAATGAATAAAAATAAGCAAAAGGAGTTCACATAAATAGAGAAGAAACATAGTTTTCTGGAAGGAGGTTTACATAAAGTCTGAGGACACCTAGGTTTTAAGCCTTAGCCAAGATAAGCATGCCACAACGTCTATTCCTTAAGTAGTAAAATGGAAATAATGATACCTCATAAGATGGTTGTGAGGATTCAGTGAAAGAACATGAACTATGTTGCACATACTGGATACTAGTTGAAAGTTAAGTTTTTATCAGCCCCCATAACACCTCCCTTTCTTTTTTAGGTCATTACACTGATTTGTCTCCTTCTAGATAAGTAATCGAGTAATCATTTTTGTTGCTAAGTTTGTCGTTATTAGGGATCATAATACCTGAATGCGTCTTCAAGGATCAAATAACACCGTGCTTAGTAAAAAATTCTGAAGCCTAATAAACATTCTAAAGCTTATGCATTATTATTTTTTGGTAAGGTTGCTAAATTTCTATTATCTATAAATAACAGGATGTTATGTGATAGTCACACTCTATTCAATATGCTCTAGGTTCCTTAAGGATAGTAATGTAATTTGGAATATTTCCAAACTTTTCCTATCTTTGCAAATCGCTCTTCTTTCATGGCCCCTTCTATTCCCTTAACAAGCCATGTCTCAGAGGAGTAGCTCTGATTTGGGTCAAGGTAAAAAAAAATAGTCTTCAAGAATACTTTATTTTTCAATAATATTAAAATTTAGAATATTTAATGGGAAGAATAATAGTATTAAATTGGAACTGAATGGGAATGCTTATTATTGTGGATAATTTCTTCTTTGGTTACTACATGGTTTTTTGTCCTCAGCACTATTGACATTTAGCGCTAGATTATTCTTTGTTGGGGATGAGGGTTGACTTTTGCATTGTAGGATGTTGAGTGGCATTCCTGGCCTCTACCCGTTAGAAGCCAGTGGCACCCTCCCAGCTATGACAACCACAAATGTCTTCAGATATTGCCAAATATATTCTGTGTAGGTTGGGGGAGGGGGATAAATAGCTCCCCATTGAGAACATTGAGTTACAGGAAGCACAGGATGCACTAAAGAGAATTTTCCAAGTGAAAGATTTCCTCCAACCCTTAGAACAAGGAGTTGATTTAAGCCAGATCTGAGATCAGAGAGCCATTCTAGTATCAAATAATTTTCTTTCACTTCCTCTTGCTTAGTGGCAATGCACTCAATGTGGTTTTAGGGCAGGCTGACTTTGGTTCCAGTTTCCTAGAACTGGCAGAGTTTACAGTTGATATTCTGGTGTAATTATTATAATGCTCCCTTTTAGTTTCAAGACTTATTGTTTGGACAATAAGTTATATGCTCACTTTAGCCTGTGTGGTGACCACTATTTTAGATGCTGGAACTCAGTGATAAAAAACACAGAGACTCCCTTCTGGAGTCCCTTTGGAGTCCATTTGGAGATCACATTACAGTAGGGAGGAAGAAAATAAATAAATGTATTGTGTAATGTAGCAAGTTACAAGTATTAAAATGCAAAAGGAGCTAGTTACAAGTGCCACTAAACGGAAAACAAGGAGATGGGGTGACAGGAGGGGTCTAGGATAATTCTTTAAATAATGTAGTTAGGAAGACCTCTTCAAACAGCATCATTTGAATGGAGACCAAATGATGTGTGAATATGGATTATACTTCTCATGGCTTTTTCTGACCTAGATTTAATTTAAAGCTAAATCTTCAGTTTTTTATACATATGAATTCATACATTTGAACCTTCATTCATACATATGAATCTCCTAGGTGAATCTAGGTTTTGTATGTGGCCTGCGGATTATATAGGGCAGGGAAAGAGGAAGGAACTGTGGAAAAAATGCATATGTAATTATGACTAACAACTGGGTACAGGTACTTGGAAAGGGACTATGCTCGTGAGAAGTCCCAAAGCTTAAGCTTCATGAGCTTCATGGTGAATCCATTACTGGTGTTAGAAATCAGCAAGGGACAGGGGGCAGAAGCCCTCACTGGAATCAATGAGTGGGCACTTTCTTGAAGGGCTGGCACCTCCTCCGGCAACCGGTGAGTGTGGAGGGGCTGAAGAGAGAGTGGGACATCTCGAGACATCACTAATAAGCCAAGCCACATGCTTTTGCATAAAATTGAGTTTTCCCAATGTATTGTGGTTTGGTTGTGCTGCCCTTACCCCTCAAATATTACTACAGCATTTTATTGTGTGCCAGCAATTGGGTGTCATTTTGCAAGACAGTCCACAAAGGAAGTTTTGAGGAATAGGTGGTTTTAAAAGTGCCATTAATGTTTCTAATGATAGCTGACAGGTAATTAGCCTGAATAATACTCTAACCAAGTGGCTTGAGCAATTAAGACTGTCCTGTAAAAGTAAAGGATGCCTCATTTGATAAGAGAAGTGTAGGTTCCATGCAGTTTATTCCATTAAAATGAGCTGCTCCGTTATAAGCAGATTCAGAAGCTCTTTGTTCTTTCCCTTAAACCCCATAGATTCAAACTGTGGTCCTATTTGAAATCTGTCAGCTGAAGTTTTAACCATAACACCAGTCTTATCTTTTCAAAAGGATTGGATCAAAGTAGCTTAGTTTTCATCTGAGTTTAACAGGGAAAATGGCCTGTGGCTATCACTCTGTAATGAGAACTTTCCCAAGTGGCCAGCACTAAAGAAATACAGTGATGTTTTGACTTTGTGTTTGTTATCATCAGGCCTTCCAATCTCTAAATACATGTACACGCAAAAAATCATAGCTCTTTAGAGAAGTGATTTAAGAGTTAGTAATATAATTCATTATTTTACCTATGAGAAGAGCTTAATGAGAACTAAATAGGTCTTCAAACTAGGTCAAAATCAAAGATGTGACTCATTTTATATATCCTTAAGCATTAAACCCTACTGCAAAGAAGCAATGCATCATGATACTAGATTGCTTATGTTCATAACAGGCTGCCTCACTAGATACTAAAATGGGAAAGGACAAATCAAACTTAAGCATTTGCATAAAATTTGAAGAATGGGATTTTTCTATAAGCTTTAAACTAATATTTCAGCTAATAAACCAAAACTGCGATCATTCTCATATTTTTAAAATGTTATCAACCAGGGTAAAAGATGTTAGTAGTTTCTAATTTTTTTTCTAATGGAAGTATGCCTTTTAATACATAAGGGAAGTGAGGATGTTTGTGCTTGTCTTTTTTTCTTTTCAAAAACTTGAAGAAGCTGGTGTTTATTTTTACTTGGTATATTGTTTTACCCATATTTCAGTTTGTAAAATACATTAATATATTGAATTTTGGAAATATAGTAGTGCAAGTATTGGTTTTTTCAATATACTGTGCATGTGCGTCTGAGTGAGAAGTGGATCTAAAAATTGAATGGGATTACGATAGCCACTTGAAGCAATGTCAGTTAGTCTGCCTAGATGGGGAAGAACATTTGGGATTTCTTTGAATAATTTTTAAAACAGGTTATTTGCATATATATGTGTGTGTGTGTGTATGTATTTATGGACACAAATTACTTTTATGTTGATAGTTTTACAATTTTTCAAATAACTAAAATATCACATTGTCATATAATGGTGCTAGATATAGAATTTGTGTTTGGGTCTATAATTTGACCTATGTTTTCTCTAAAATTAAAGAAGTGAATACAACCCTGCCAACTTAGTATCTATATTAAATTTTGAGGCTTTTCGGTATAATTAGGATTACTATGTGATTTAGATATAAACTTATTTCTACAATTAAATGTATAATAAAGCATTTTATTATAAATTCAAAAATAGGACACAAAATGTTAAAAAAAAACAAGGGCTTTTATTAAATAAATTACTTCTTTTCCTTTCTTTTTTTTTTTGACCTGGATTTTAATCTTTATTTGGATCATTTTCCAGCTAAGCACCTTGTGCTACGTTTAACTTCTTTTATTGTTAGTTATTTATTATGTAACAAAGGACCTTTAATACCTCCTCAGTGGGCCATTGCAAAATCTACTTAAATTAATAGATGTAAAACAATTCCATGCTTGCCTGACAGAAAGTACTGAAAAATTACTTCTATTTTTACTTCTCTTTCATTTTCCTTCCTTTATTCTATAATCTAGGGTTAGACTCTATGTCAGATAAAATGTAGAAGTAAGTTGACCATTCAAGAGACCTGCACTGTTTATGCATCTGCTACCATATGCAAGGCATTGAAGCAAGCACTGTAGCGAGTACAATGAAGAGTAAAGCACAGTCCCTTCTTTTCCTCATGCCTCACTGAAAGAAAGGGTCAAATTTTAGTCACCCAATATAGGTGCATCATATACATTTGAATGAGTTTACTGTGGCTTTTGCTAAAGGTGTATTTCAATAAAACAATGGAATTATGTTAATATCAAAAAATTTCATTTCTTAGCTTTTCACTTGAGCAACATGCAGTTTAATAACTCTTGCTTGGGAAATAGATTATATGGATTTAGAAGGAGGTTTCTTCACATACTTGTAAGTATGAAACAATAACTTAAACACTATACACTGAAAATGATCAAAATACGGTTGCTCTAAGTTCTTTACACGTAAAATCTTTGAGGCGTAGACTATTACTTCCTTTCCTATATCTATTCCTCCCTTTCCCTTTATAACAGAATCCCAGATTCTAAGTGGACACAAACTCTAAGCTAAAAAATGATTACTTTTCCCACAGTCCCTTAAACCTTGGTCTAATTAAGCTCTAGAGAATGAGATGCAAACTGTTACATAGTGCTCTGGAAAGTTTCCTTAAAAAGGAGAGGTCATGCATCTCTTCTGCCCTTTAAGCAACTAATTGGCATAAGATGTGATGGCTGAAGTTCTAGGAGCAACATTGGCTGATATGGCTGAAGACCACATCCCAAAAGTGGCAGAGAAGTGAGCTTGAAGGGGCTAGTTGTCTACTGACTATGTGGAATAGCTCTACTAACCTTAAACCGTCAACCTCAGGAATTCTTTTATGTAAGGGAGAAATAAACTTCTATTTAGTTTGGATCACTGTTTTATTACTTTTTCTTATGTGGCCCAATCCCATCCCAAATGATACACAATACAATTATTGAAATCATACATTAATATTATATTTAATGGCATGAGGAAATTCAGGTAAATATATTGGGCAAAATAAATTAATTTATTCATAAACAAATAAATAAACCAAACCATTGGCAGCATTTTTTATTTTTACTTTCTTCTTTATACTCTTCTGTATTTTTTAAATTTTCTAAAATGGATAGGTAACACTGAAAAGAACATATTTGTACCTGAAGTTTGCATACATGGTTGCTTACTGCCTTATAAAAATGTGTTGGCTTGGAAGTGCAGAATATTGATTTGGAAGACTTTTTTATATATTGGCAAATCATTGTCTACAATAATTGCTTTAATTTAATTTTCTCTGAAGCCAACAACATAAAAAGAGTGCTCATTTAATTGCTTTATAACATAACACAAAGTAGTCCCTTTAAATTTAATAACTTGACTATACATTAGGAACATGGTTTTTAACTTTTATTTTGATTGAAAATTTGTTTCCTCCCTACAAAAATTATTGGTGAACAAATGATAATCTTAACTAGATTTGTGAAATAAATAGAGGAGTCAGGATGATTCTAAGATTTTTGGCCTAAGCAACTAGACGTATAAAATATGCTATGAGGGGGAAGACTAAGGGAGGGACAGGATCCTCCAAACTAAACTTTGAAAAGGCATCCAAAATTTAGTCCTGGATATGTTGAGTATGAGATTACTGTTAGAAATCTAAGTGGAGGTATTGCATGGGGAATTAGATATATGAATCTGGAATTCAAGAAAGAGGCTTGAGCCAAAGATTTAAATCTGGGAGTCATCTCCTTTAGACAATATTTAAAATCATGAGTTGGGTGAGATCATCATCTCAATGAACTTATAAAGAGAAGAGATGAGAAAAAATGAGGCAAGAGATAAACCAAGTGTTAGGAAGGATAACATGATAAACTACATCAAATGTTCATGATAGGACAAAGAAATTTGGCAGACATATTTAGCATGTGTATGTCATCGGGCACCTTAGCAAGGGTGTTTTCGTAAGGGATAGGGGATAAAGCCTGAAAGAAACAGGGAAAGTGGAGGAGAGGAGAGTTGGAGAGAATAAATACAGATTATCTTTTCATGGAGTTTTGCTTTAAACAAGAGGTGAGAAATGAGGCACTAGTTGGCATAGAAAGTGAGGTCAAGATAAAATGTTGCTTTGTTTTGTTCTAATATGGGAAATATGACAATGAGTTTTTATTATGCTGGTAGCAATGATTCAGGAGAAAGAAAAAATGATGATGTAAGAGACAGAAAAGCGAAGGGCTGGGACTATGTCCGTGGAGGGGATGTAATTAAGCATGCATGTAGAGAAGCTGGCTGCAGGAAAGAGAACAGAGAGGTCACTGGTAGGAACAGGCAGAAAAGTAAGTTAAAAGGACGCAGATACTCGTAGGTGAGTAGATGTAGGGGTGCAATAGTGGAGGCTCCTCACTGATTACTTCAATGTTACTCAGTGAATTGAGAAGCAAGGTCACTAGTAGAGAGTGAGGGTGGGCACGAAGGTGTTTGAGGTTTGAGGAAACAAGGTCGGGCTGAAATATTAGGTTATTATAGTGGAGAGTGAATGGGCCATGGAAAGAGTGTGAATGGCCAGCAGCATTAAGGCCCACCTGGGGGTTGTGGTCAGAAATATGAAGTGGAGCCCGTGAGCATGGTGTGTGTTGTTCTCCAGTCACTTTCACTTTCAGCTGGGTGTAGGCATGAAGTAGGATAAAAATTGGACCTAACCTGGATTAGCCAAAGGAGTATGAGTGAGAAATGATCAAGAAAATGTGAAAATGCCAGAAAATGATTGTAGTGGATGTCCATGGAATTTAAGCCGAGCAAGGAGAGAAGGAGGCCTATTCAGTGGGTGAGATTTAAAGTCAATGGATTGGAAATCCCAATTGGATGGAAGTATTGTAGGAGTTGGGATATTAAAGGGAATGAATTAGAAAGATGGGAGTGAATGCCTCAGGTATAGCTAAGAATAGGAATAGCTATGATAGGATGGAAGACAAGTCCACTGGAAGATTTCAAGGAACTGAGAAAAAGCAAACTTTGAAGCTTGAATTTTGCATGCAATTTTATAAACTTTCTAATTTTGTCTTTTTAAAATTAAGACTTTCTTAATATCACAGCATAGGAGTTACAGAGTTACAGCTGTACAATTATGTTAGCATCTGTTTAGGGACAAGAATAGGATACAGGTATCTGAACTTTTTTTTTCTAGAAATAAACAGCTAGAAAGTGACACCATTCTAGTTAATTCTGATGTTGGTATGATATTTTAGAGAGTTTAAACACATGGAATTGTCACCATCAACTATCTGTAATCTTCAAAAATGGCTATTTTATGTAGTTGAACCTAATATGCGTACTTGAATGCACGCAGTTATGTATATGCATCAGTATGGCAAAAATTCTCAAACAAAAGTAACAAAACTCAGTCTGATATTATGTTTGCAGGAATAGGCTTTCTGGAAAAGATATCTCCTGATTTTCCCTTTTAAGGGGAAGAAAAATTAAGGCAGAGCAGGTAGGCAAGGAATGGCTTTCATTTTACACTTTTATAGTCTTTCTCCCTGGGCTCATTCTCAACAGACTCATTATCACAAGCTAGATGTCAGTGATGTTTTTAACATTTTGGTTATAAAAATAATAACAAGCACAAATTTGTTTTCAAAAGACGCAGACAATATAGAAATGGACACGGGAGAATAGGAAAGTTAACTTTTTCTTTTCTTTCCCAAACTTCAACTGTTTTTCCCAGAGGTAACCTGTGCAAAATGCTTTCTCTGTATTCTAAAGTCTGCTTTCTATGCAATGGCCGGTATCTACCTATACATATAAATGCATCGCTCCTCCTTTTCTTCCTATTATCACAAAAATGGGAAAATAATATGACATATTTTTCAATTTGAATTTTTTATTTAGTGATATATCTTATAGATCTTTTGCATCAACACATGTAGTATAACTGCATTGTACTCAACAGTATTAATATACCACTATTTTTAAAACCACCTCTCTAGTTTTGGATGTTAGATTATTAGAAGTAAATGAGGATAATAATAATTCTACATTCACAAAATAGTATAAAAGTTGAATAATACAGCTTATATAGAACACTTGTGAGAACACCTGGCATATAGTAAGCTTTCAAACCAACATTTGAAAAGACTAATTTTTTCTAAATCTGATGGATGAAAATGATGAAAAATTGCTCTCCTATTTGTTTTCTCTTATCAGTAAGTATTTTAAGTATCTCTCCATATGTGTATCTTCCATTTTGTCCTATGTAGCTTTTTATCCTTTACAATTAATCCCTTTTGGTTTGGGGACTTATATATTCCAGTCATAATTTTGGGGTATTAAATGCATCAAAACATTTTATCGCTACTATTCAGTTTTATATTTTTAAAATAATATCTACAGTAAAGACTTTCAGTGTGTCTTTACTTAACACCCTTTTGTTCAGCTCTGACTTTAGCTGTGGTTGTGGTGGATAGTATCCCACATCAAGATGTCTCGGGACCTTGTCTAAAGACATGGGGCTTCCTCAGCCAGTATGTAATTACAGCCCAGAAACTAAAAGAGTGATAATGTCTCTAAGGGCAACCCTCAACCAATGGGTGACAGGAGCTAGAGGACAAATGCTCCAGAACCCCTTACTTTCTGTAAATAAAATAAAATAAAATACCAGATGTGGTATTTTTATTGAATCAAGAAATACAGCCTCTGGTACTTGATATGTGATTATTGACCAAGAGCCATTATGTATGCTTCTCAAAGATTCCCAAGTAATTGAGTTCCTATTGCTTACAACTGCGGCCTCTGTATGTATTCTTATATTTACTTTTGCTCTTCCTTATTCTTACCTTTCCAAATAACTTACTCCTGCTTCTTAGATTCATCTCTTATATAAATCATCTGTCCCCAACTCTCAGGCTCTACTTTTAAAGGAGTCCAAATTAAGACAATTGACACTGGAGTTGGCCATGGTAAACAAACTGTGAAGATGGGATACCGGAGTAGGATCATTCATTCATTCGTTAGTCAGCAATAATTACCACACTGCATTTGATAAGTGGGTTAATACTATAGGATGGTGATGGTGGAGTGGTGCTCTTGATAAGTGGAGTGGTGATGGATGCAATTTCACAAACACTTACTTATGGCTTATTGGGATGAGTTATAAGCTAACGTTGAAGAATTGGGTTATGCCTTACCACTAGCAATTGAGTGAGATAGAAACAATTACAGTTATGAGACTGGATTGGCTGACTTTTGTTAATTGCTTTAGAATTCTGAGGGAATAATAGAGAATGGTAAACTCCTTTCTTTAAGCAGACCCTGATCTTCTGTAGCCAGAAGGAAGCCTCGATGGAGTTTAATTGTAAGGTGGCAACACTGCAAAGGAGACTGTGTGTCAGTCTCAGTGGGTCAATTACATTAAAGTCAGAAAACAGATAGGAGAATATTCAGAATTTGATGTTGGATAAATGTGCCTGAGAACTTTTAACTCCCAAATATTACCAGGTTGCAATCCAATCTTTTATTCTGCTTCTCCCCCATTGTAGAGAAGGGCAGCATGCCCTTACCTTACCATACAAAGATATCATCTAAGGCAGAAAAGAAGTCCCATAGTTAATACTTAATAGTCTCAAGATTCCATCTTTGTGTTCTCTCACTGTGTTCAGCCAATAACTAAAGTCATGGTAGAGCCAAGCCTGAGTGGAAAATTATCCTGGATGTTCCAAACTCTTGGATGAAATAGTTATTTTATTGACAATTGCAAGATTTGACTAATATTCATAAGCAGGAAACAGCAGAGCATGTACAGTACTGGATCTTGAAAGTGTTGAACCAAGTGGGGTGAGGTTCAGAATGTAAGGCTGGAGAAGGGAGAGTTTATTGGCATAGGAATGCTTTCCTTTGCCAGGAAAATTGAAACCCATCTTGTATGCTTCCAATATGGCTACTTGAAGCTTGGGCTTGATGATGGCCTTTAGTGAATGAGTTGGAGATGCAGTAACTGTCTTGTGAGTGTATTAAGGATGGGGTCAGAGGAGAGAATATTAGAATGGATTTATTATATGAGAACATAAAACCACTTTACTGTGAAAGTCCAGAGGACACTTCCTGTGTAAAGCAATAAATAATGGACCTGTGAGGGACACTCTAATATTGGCGAAAAGCTCAGTGGTTGCTGTGCTCTGAAGACCAGTGTTGACAGTAGAGTAGATTGTCATGGAAATGGGATAACAACGATAGGTTCATGGAAGATCAGAGTCCAGGAAAATATTCTTAGGCATTAGAGGTGAATGAGATGGAATTACCATAATGAACATCAGGGTTAGAGTGACAAACAGGTTACCTTCACCTACAGGGATCTCTCGCAATGACTGTTAGAACAAGGCATTTGTAGGGTGAGAATGATGGTATTTCTTGAGTTGTATAACCAAAATACTATGCTAAAATAAAATAAACAGCCAGAAGGAAGACATCTACTTGTTAATGGCACAATGAACAATTCAGTCTCTCATTCTGTTTCAAAAACAGAACGACTCAGAAGCAATCAATTGAAGGAAAGATCAAGTTCCCTTGAGGAGGGTTTTGTAAAACATTACAAGAGTACACATAAATATTTCCTAGTATTTTTCCAGTGAGACCTGCACCAATTACCAGGAAAAGCGGGTGTGCTTGGTCTTTTGATGGATTTGGGATACAAAGCTTCAGTTGACACAGGTACTAAGAGATCCAGAAGCCTATCATGTCTTTCACTCCTTCCTTAGAAGAAATAATTAGACTTACTGATATTAAGTCCAAATGAGTCTGCAAGCCATACTGTCCATAGTCCCCAGATGGAATTCAAGAGCTTGGCCTTTTCTTCAAACTTAAAAGATTCAAGAGTAGTGGCTTCAATATATTCATGTTCAAATCACCTATATGGTTTATAAAGAAAAAAACAGATGGATCATAGCATATGTGGGTAAACTACTGTAATGTTAACCAAATTGTGTTAGCAATTGCTGCTGCTATACCAGATGTGGTATTTTTATTGAATCAATAAATACAGCTTCTGGTACTTGATATGTGATTATTGACCTGGTAAGTGTGTTCCTTTCCATCTGTATTGGTGAACAAGATCAAAAACAGTTGTTTTTACAGGAAAGAAAACAGTCCACTTTCACTTTCTTTCCTCAAAGATCTATTATATCTATGGCATCTGCCACAATATAGTCTTCAGGGTCTTTGATAATTTTGACATTCTACAAAATTATCATGGCCACTATATTTTTATATCATCCTAATTGGACCTGATGGAAAGAAATTTGTCAATACCCTGGATGCTCTTCTAAAACACATGTGTAAGAGACGATGGGCAATGAATCCTATAAAAAGTCAGAGACTTGCCAAATTGGTGAAACTTGGGGGAATAACTTGGGGTCTTACTGGAACATCCTCTCAAGGTAAAGAACAAATCGTTGCACCTTGCAGCCATCAATTCTTAGAAAAATGCACAGTGTTTGGCTTAGTGCACTTGAATTGTTTGGATTTTAGAGGCAGTGCATACCATACTTCCAGCTAATGGCTATTTAAGTATTTGAAAGATTGCTAATTTTGAGTGAGGTCCAATGACAAGAGGATTCTTATCAGATCTAAGCTATTGTATAAACTATCCTGCCACTCAAGGGCCCAGCAGATCCAATGGTGCTACATGTAGAAAGCCCCAGTAGGAGAGTTGTTGCATATTTGCCTGGGCACCTAGAAGAAGTGGATACCTTTGGCAGCAGAAAACTACTTACCATTTGAAAAGCAGCTCCTGGGAGGCTATTAGCCCTTTTGGTGACTGAGTGCCTTACCATGATACATCAAGCAGCCATGAGGTCAGAGCTGCCCACTAGGAGAAAGGTTTGTCACCTTATCTACCAAGTCATTATGCCTTTCAGATATATCAGTGACTCACTGCAAGATGGAAATCGTATATTAGGGATTGGGCCCAAACAGTTTCAAAGAACAGGTATATCACTGTTTTACTGATGCCTCTTCAATCCTTATGGAGCATTCCCTTCAAGAAGCTGATGGAGTAGGGGATAAATTGGGCCTAGTTCATATGTACACTGGCTCAATATGTTAGTGTGAGCCAGATATGGAATATTGATGTTACTGACCCTCTAAAATATACTGATGAGAGGAGATCACTTCATCAGGCAAGACTATGAACAGTATATCTAATTTTCCCTTTCATATGGATGGAAAAATGACCTGAAGCAAGACTATATATGATTTCCTGTGCAACTGTGCATGGCTTGGCTTCTTTGTCAAGAACAGGGGTTGTCAAGCTATTTCCTGCAAGCCGTATGTGGACTATTACTTACTTTTATATGGCCTGTGAGTTTAAAATGATTTTTACATTTTAAAATATGGGAACATTATTTCAACAGAATAATATTTCAAATTATGTATAAATCATATGAACTTCAAATTTCAGTCTTCATAAATACAGATTTGCTAAAATGCAGCCATGCTTATTTACATAATCTTTATGGATGTTTTGTGCTACAAAAACAGAGTCGAATCATTACAAAAGAGACTGCAAGGAACAGAAAACCTAAAATATTTACTACAGGTATTTTTATAAAACAAGTTTATGGATTTTAGGACAAGGGCTTGGGAGGAGAAAGACTGGAATATTATAGGTAAGAAGGTCTTTAAAAGAACCATATGGGGCCAGGCGCAGTGGCTCACACCTGTAATCCCAGCACTTTGGGAGGCCGAGGCGGGTGGATCACAAGGTCAGGAGATCGAGACGATCCTGGCTAACGTGGTGAAACCCTGTCTCTACTAAAAGTACAAAAAATTAGCTGGGCGTGGTGGCAGGCGCCTATAGTCCCAGCTACACAGGAGACTGAGGCAGGAGAATGGTGTGAAGTGAAACCGGGAGGCGGAGCTTGCAGTGAGCCGAGATCGCGCCAGTGCACTCTAGCCTGGGCAACAGAGCAAGACTCCATCTCAAAAAAAAAAAAAAAAAAAAAAAGCCATATGGATGGACATTTGGGAATAATTGCAGACATTCATGTCTCATGTCACTGCCCAATAAAAAGCATCACTGCAGAGGAGGCACTGACCACCAGTAGACAGGATGAATCATCTGACAGGTCATTCAGCCTCTGTCCTCAAACTATTGCTAGCGCTAAAGGCCCATGAATTGAATAGTCATGTATCATAGATGAAGATTCTTCATGGGTCCAGTAGCATGGGCCTTCTTTTTCCAAGGATGATACAGCTGTATGCCTGCCCTATCAGCAGCAGAGTCCAACTCTGGGTTCTTGATACAGTACATTGTTGAGCAAATCAACTGTCTACTTAGTGTCAGATGATTATAGAGAACCTTATTTAGCATGGTGGAGGGGAGGCAGTGATTCATTCTTACTAAAATGGACACCCACTCCAGATACGAATTTGCCTGTCCTACCTACAATAGAGCACTACTCTCAGGTAACATCATTACCTGAAAGTTTAGAGAATGTCAGATTTACTGATGTGGAATCCATCAAAACAGATCCTTAGACATGACAATAGGATTTACTCATCAAGCAGCCAATGTGATAGAACTTTGAAATAGCCTTATTTAAATCACATTATGGCTGCTTGAGGATACAAAGATCTTACAAAGCCTTACTGCTGTTCTTCAGGAAGCATTATATAATTTGATCAAACTTCTACTGTATGAGGCTATCTCTTTAATAGTCAGAGTACATAGATTCAAGGAACAAGGGGAGGAAGTAAGATTAATCCTTCCCATTGTAACTTCAGTGGCGCACTCTAGGAATTGGTCCTCTTTGTTCACACAATTGTAGGCTCTGTGAATTAGAGCTTCAGCTTCCCAAGCTTGTATTAGGGATATGGTAAGGATTTGACATAATTCCCCTTGTCAGGGCCTGGAGGAACCCTAGGGTATAAGCCTAAGAATTATAGAATTCATGGTAAAGGAAGAGAAAATGATGACTTTGCACTCAGTGTAACTCTGGTTACTGTAGCTTATTCCACTAAACCGTCTGAATCAGCCTTTTTTTTTTAAAGACTGGCTGGTCATCAATTTGAAAATTCAGTGACAGGGTGGTTTTAATGTAGGACACTAGTGGAGAAGAGTTGTGCAAAAGGTGGACTGTAGTCAGTGCTTCATTGTGTGGAGTCACGTCCGTCCCATTGGCCCACATCCAATTTCAGCCACTGAGTGCCAAGAGCTCTGTGCAAGCTCAGACACACATTGACGTAATACTACCTTCAGTGTGAGCCGTGCTTTTCTCTGCCCTCTCTGAAGTCCTGAGAACTCACTCAGTCATTGTGTAAGTGAAGCCCAGAAATGTGGAGAACTTAGAACTCCAAGGGTGACCCTCAGAAAAGGTGTGGCAGGAAACAGGGTATGAATGCCCTGTTTCCTCTTCTCATGAGAAATTCAGGGAAGCATTTGAGATCCCATTGTCTACAATATCAGCCTCAAAAAATTCAATACCGTTATATTTATTTTCCTCATTTCCTTTCTCCCTCTTCCTCCTCATCCCTGTTCTCGGTGATCACTTCCAAAATAAATTACTTGTACGGAAATCCAGTGTAAGTTACATGTACATGAGACTTATCTCAGGCTTTCCTTCCAAGTGATTCAAACTGAGACAGTTTCATTTGAAATATTGAAGTTACAGAATTTTTGTGTGCTTAGAACAATTATTCTTTCCCTTCATGGTTTCTGTGTGTTATTTTTGCTTATAAAGGCCTAACTTACTTTATGAAAATACTTGCCTATATTTCCTTTTAATATTTTTATAGTTTATTGTCTGACCATTGCTCATTTACTTTTGTGGACTTTATGAGTTATGAATTTAGCTTTATTCTTTAATAAATGCAGAGCCAACTATCTTATCAACAAATTTTTTTACACAGTTCCTTCCTCTTACGAATTGAGTTTGAATGTCACTTGTATCACACAGACAGTTTCCACATAAAGTTTATTATGGCTTATTGGTCTATATTTATATTACTGTGTTTACATCACAGTATTTTAGTTACTTATAGTAAATTTTGATATCTGAGAGGGCAAGTTCTGCCTTGAGTTTTTTATTTATCTATTTTTTCCCAATTGCTTTGACTATTTTTGTTCACATTTTGTTCAATACAAACTTGAAAATCAGCTTTTCAAATTTTATTCAAAAATCCCTTTGAGGTCTTTGATTGAGAGACTGTTGAATGTATAGATTGATTTGTGGATACATAACATCTTTTTTAAACTTTCCCATTTGGGAATTAATCTATTGAGGGTTTCTTTTTGACCCCTGGTAAAGTTTACTCACTTATTTTCTCACTTTACTTACTTATATTTCTTATAAAATTTTATATATATATTATGCAAATCCATATAAATCTTATATATCTTATAAGACTCTTACAAGAAATATAAGTAGGTAAAGTAAGAAAATAAGTGAGTAAAACAACTTATTTTATTAAACTCATTTTATTAAATCTTGTAAGTTATATAATATTTCTATAGATTTATGAAATAGATAAGTTTATATCTTTACAAGATATATAAGATTTATGTCTTACAAGAAATATAAGAAAGATATATAAGACAGATATATTATAAGATTTATATCTTACAAGGTATATTATAAGATATATCTTCTAAAATATATATTCTTGTGTATTTTATGTTTTTGTTTTTATAGTTTATTATTTGTGAATGGGATCTTTTTTTTGTTACAGTCCCTACTTGTTGGAGTGTGTAGGAAGTGTGTTGTATTAAAGAGCTATTGGTTTCATAAGTTAATATTGCATTCAGGCCAACTTAGGAAACTCTCTTTGTTTTACTGCATTTTTTGTTCGTAGAGTTAGATTTTCTAGGAATATAGTTATGTCATCTGTAAACAATGAAAATTACTTTTTATTTTTCCTTATTTTTTACACATGGAGGAGTGTAGACAATGTACTTAACTGGTCATCTTTCTCAATAAGTTTTTAAAAAATTTTCATATATGGACAAAGCAAATTTTCAGTCCAGATGGAGATAAATCTTGTGTTCAGGAAGACTGAAAACCATGGCTAATACATAGGCATAAAAATCCCAAACCAGAAAAATCAAATCGAGGAAGAGCCAGGAGTCAGAGAGTCAGAATCGGGTCCCAAGATACTTAGCAAGAACCAGCAAAGGTCAACATCAAGGAATAGAAAATTTAAGCCAAGATTCAGGAATGCTGAAGATACTCTTTTTCTATGAAAAGAGTGTTCAGTTTGAAAGGTGGATGTGAGATGGTCAGAGATTGAATGTGTCAGTTGGAAACTGAGGTATGCGAGAATCATGACAATGGAACCTTACAAGGGAAAGAAGGGCAAAAGTCCAGCTGTAGATTCCAGACTGCTCCCTACTTTTATGGGATTTTTTTTGCTAATTCAATTCAATTTTTATTTTATGTTCCGGGATACATGTGCAGGACGTACAGGTTTGTTGCATAGGTAAACATGTGCCATGGTGGTTTGCTGCACCTATCAACCCATCACCTAGGTATTAAGCCCTGCATGCATTAGCTGTTTATCCTGATGCTCTCAGTCCCCTCACCACACCCTCCCCGCACTTCGACAGGCCCCAGCGTGTGTTGTTTCCCTCCCTGTGTCCATGTGTTCTCATTGTTCAGCTCCCACTTATAAGTGAGGACATGCGGTGTTTGGTTTTCTGTTCCTGCATTAGTTTGCTGAAGATAATGGCTTCCAGCTCCATCTATGTCTTTGCAAGTCGTTCTATGAGCTATAAGATAACTGTGTATGAAAGTTTTTGTTTTCACCTTTCCACAGCTGCAAAGAGTTTGCACAGAAAGGCTACCTAGCATTGCTGTTGAATGGCTAAGACTTGAATATATAACTGGCTATTGATAATAAGCAAAGTAGAAACTCTGTAAATTAACTTCTTATCACTGCAAATTATCATTTTGAGTAAAAAGATTAAATAATTCTTAATTGCACTCATACAAAGATATGGATTCTTTTTGAGAAGTGGAGTAATATAACTATTAATTGACTTCCCTATTTCTCTAATGTCGGGTGATGTCTAGCAGCTCTCAGATCTAAATATAACTTAAGAGCCTGTGACTATATATACTAGCTTAATAAAATATTTAGAATAGTCCTCTTACTATATATTAAGAATACAATTAAGAAGATACTATTTTATATCAACAATCCTCATATTTTATGTATATTTATTGCCGGCATAGAGATAGGCAGAGATAGGCTATATTAATTGGTAAAAAGAAGAAAAAAATCCCTACACATGAATAAAATAAAATAAATAAAGTATTGTCAATCATCGCAACATAAATTAGTACAAATAAATGTGTGAAATAATGAGTATATTTTCTGATATGGCAGTGTAGTTAGAGATTCTGGAAAAAAAGTGTTATCAGCTCCCTTAAATTTGAAACTAGAGAATAGCTTCAGTTACCCTTGACAGAAAAATAAACGTATTGGATAAAGTCAGCTGCGGAATCAAAGAATAAAGAGAATAATAAATGAAAAACTATTGTATTGAGCAGGTAGTTCACTAGTCTATAATAATTGGAGTGAGAGTAATAAAGATGTTTGTATCAGTATTAAAAAGAATACAGTCATAATGGAAATAGAGAATAATGAGAAGCATACAAAGATAAAGCCTTATGTTTTATTTTATTAGAAAAATGAGTTGTAAATGAAATATTAATAAAAAATCAAAGGAATATGAATGAAAAATATTGATACTGTAGAATGGTAAAATTACAAGTTTAACTTAATGAGAATTAAATTCTAGAGAAAAGTTTATGACATTCACACACTAAACACAGATTCATCATCATTCACTCTAGTATGATAATCACCACCATGAACACTTACGATTTATCTATTACTTTAAATTTTGAGGAACATGGTCTTATTGATATATCAAGTATGTTTTGCAGATCCATATGTGATCGTTACCAGTAAAAAATAAATAAATAAATTAGGGTCAATTGTAACAGATTAGTGAAATTCTAACACTGACCATTAATACATTTGTTTTCTTTGCCTATTCAAGACAATCTGTAGGCCCCATACTTGTGAGTAGAGAAGAATTCATTCTTTTATGAAGAACCATTAAAATATTTAGCTTTAACATTAGATCCAGGGCTAAAATTAATGAATGATTTGCAAGGTTAGCAATAGTAACAAAGATTCAAATTTCTTTTCAAAAGATAGAATTGAAATGATCAACACTTACAGATAATTAACTTTTATACAACCCGGTAACTGCCAGAATTCTCATGTATGGGAAATAACTGTTTCCAATTCTGACAAAGTGACATACACGTAATTGTTCATGCATTGCAACTCACTTCAAGAATTTGCCTACAGAGAAGATGGTAAAGAGTTCTTTCTTCTCTGTCAAATGTATTACATAGTTAGGATCATAGGTCATAATCAGTGCAAAAATAATGTCTTTTTTCTGTTTTGTTTTTAGTTTTACTTTTATCAAAGTTCCATTAGTACTGGAAAGGATGTTTTGCACAGAACTTTTCATAGATTGAGGTTAAAACCGTGGGATTAAGCTGCCAGGACTTTTCTAAACAGAAGGATTTCAAGTTTTCTCTGGGCCACTTGGCTACTACCAGTGAAAACATGAAAGGGTACTCTGTCCAGAACTGGGCAGTATGGAATTTCAGGAAGTAAACTACATTCTTCTCTCAGCTAATATCTCCACAGTTACTATTTGTTTTGTCAGACAAATTGTTAACTGTCACTAACAGGTACCCAGTACTCAGAAATATGTAAGGAATCTCATGTCAACACAAAAGTGGTGGGAAAATGACAAGCACATAATTAAAGATGGCAAATCATCACAATGATATTACCAAGCTCTTCTGAATATTTTAGCAACATTTTACAGAAACTATCCATGATAGTGAAAATGCAATGCTTTCCTCTTTGGTTATATGAAAATAGCTATTAAATAAAGGCATTACAAGTTAATGGCAGAAATAAAATGAGAAATAAGCCATTCATTCATATACTCTAAATATAAGCGGAAAAAGATAATGAAAAATAGTCTATTCATCCATAACTCTAGAGTTATATTCCTAAGAAACTACATGTTATCAAAAGTTGTGATATATAATTTTTAATGAGAAAAAGGATTAGTAGCTAAAGACTTTCAGATTTGAAAGACAACTGTATTGCTTTCAATAATTAAGTAAGTCAGGGGTCTCCAATCCCGAGGCCGCGGACCGGTACCAGTCCATCGCCTGTTAGGAACCAGGCTACACAGCAGGAGGTGAGCGGCTGGCAAGCGAGCATTATCAGCTGAGCCTGGCCTCCTTTCGGATCAGCAGTGGCATTAGATTTTCACAAGAGTTGGAACCCTCTTGTGAACTGCACATACGAGGAGTCTAGGTTGTGGACTCCTTAGGAGAATCGAACTAATGTCTGATAATCTGAAGGGGAATAATTTCCTCCCCAAACCAACCCCAGTACTCACAGCCCCTCACCCCCAGGTCCATCCGCGGAAAAATTGTCTTTCAGGAAACCAGTCTCTGGTGCCAAAAATGTTGGGGACCTCTGAAGTAAGGTATATTTTGTGGCGTTAGGTATATTCTGTTATCACAAGTTACAAATAACATACTAGTTGATCAATACTGATCAAAAAAGTAACTTAAACTATGCTAAGAAAATCCTGTTAAGAACTTTAATGGGGTCTTTGCTCAAAAGTAATAGGCTTTTCATCTCACACCATTTAAGATGGTTTTCATCAGAAAACAAAAAGGTAAGTATTAGTGAGTGCATGGAGAAGCAGGGAGCCCTCGTACACTGCTGGTGAGAACATAAAATGGTGGAACCACTTGTGAAATATAGTAAGGTTGTTCCTCAAAAAATTGAAAATAGAATTACCATATGATGTGGCAATTCCATTTCTGTGTATATATCAAAAAAATTCAAAGCAGGGACTCAAAGAGATATTGTATACCCACATTCATAGCAGCATCACTTACAGTAGACAAAAGTTGGAAATAACCCAAATGTTCATCAATGGATAAGGATAAGCATAATGAAGTATATATATAAAATGGCATATTATTCAACCTTAAAAGGAAGAAATTCTTACACATAGTACATCATATAGAAGTCTTGAACATATTATCCTATATCCTAAGTAAAAGAAGCCAATTTTAAAAGGACAAATACTGTATGATTCCACTTATATGAGACACCTACAGCAGTCAATTTAATAGCGACAGTAGGTACAATGGTAATTTCCAGGGGCTGAGGGAGGGGTGAGTGGGGCGCTGTCGTTTAATGAGTAAGGGTTTCAGTTTTGCAAGGTGATAAGGGTTTGTAAGATGGATTGTAATGATGGTAGCATAACAATGCAAATGTACTTAATGTCACTGAACTGTATGCCTAAAAATGATTAGGATGGTAAATTTTATGGTAAGTATGTTTTTATCACAATTAAAATTATTTTTAATGTAATGGGCTTTTACAGTTACCCTATCACAAGCATAAACACACCATTACATACATACATTTTTATTACCATTAAAGCACAAAGATATGATAATATCTTTTAATACAACAAAAAGTCAAAGTACAGCAGAATTCACACTCACAAAGGCAGACAAAAACCATGAATATACAGTTTGATTACTCAGACTTTGAAAGTGGTTGTGTGTGACTAAGCTGGACTTTTCTCCTTTTGTTTCATGGATGTTCTCAATTATCAGGTAATGACTAATATTGGTCTCTGTAAAGTAAATTCTATTTCAGAATTAATCTATTTTGTTAAGGTCAATTTGTATTAAAAAGACACTATTGGAGAAATATTTGGGTATGGTAAGTTTTGTATTTGGGTTTATGTTTCAGTGATAATTAAAATGTTCATATAAAAATATTTTAGTTTGTGGAGGGTCAGTCTGTAACCAAACATTCCGCTCTAATTAGTCCCAACATTTGCTTTCATGCGTATGATCACATTGGGGCCCAGCGGTTACCTGAAGTGACAGTATTTTTCTTTCATATATGAGAGGGCATGTTGGCTGTTGCTAAGTTGACATACTCTAAAAATTAAAACGCTAACATTCTGCATCTACTTTTGTATTCGTACAGAATTATTTCTACCAGTTATTTAAAATCCTTATTTTTTAAACTAATTTACAATTGGCAGCAATTTTTGTAGACTATGGCTTGATTTTTAAGTTATTCAGTCAATTCAGATTTTGATTTGATACCATAAAAATAGTGTGGTATAACAGAGTAATTGTAATGGACTAAGAAAAAAAGAAGAGAAGCAAATTTGATCTAAGACTAAGGCATTTGAGCCAGAGGAAGTCCAAGGAGCTCTACAAAGTTTTTATGTTAGTTTGAATAATGAAGAGCCATGAAAGAATAACTAGAGAAATATTAGTTATGCTGAACTCAAAAGACCAAACTCAAAAGCATTTAGTTGTATGTTTGCATTTTAAATTCTGTCTTTTTTGGGTACCAACTTGTATAATGATTGATTATTGGTAAATGTACCATTAGTTACATTCTCAATGAAAAATTTTTGAAAATATCATTTAATTTGTTTTGAAATGTGTTTTTGTGCATATTCTCATCTTGGTCTATCATGATATTGGGTTAACATATAAAAGCTCATTATTTAGTTTCAGCAAAACAATCTTATCCAAAATGTTAAACTGGTACTATTAATTTGAATTGTGTTAGATAAATAATTTTGTGTTTGACTTTTGCATTTTTCTATGGGCCATGAACACCAAAAATTTATTTCTGATTTTGTGTTTATACTTATTCAGGAAATACTGTATATATGATAAAAATGAATACTGGCAACCTGCTAGAATTGTTACTTTTAAAGTGTGCATGCGTTTGTACATGAACTAGCAAACAATGGTATAATCTAAAGCTTAATGTTAAGAAATTCTATTCTCGTGTCTTTTATAATTCTGTAATTAAAGTTATTTTGTTGTGGGAACCACAGCGAACTGATTTATCTAGAATTACACTGTATGATTTTTAGAAGAAAGACTGAGGAAGTGACAAAAATATAAAAATAAATATGCAATTGCCTACATGAAAAAGACCACTAGGATTTCAGTCACTCACTATATGATTAAAAGATTTACCTATGATAAAAGAAACAAGGTATTTGATAAAGTACTGATTTACATTAAGAAGTGATGTACTGCTAAGATAATCAATACTGCAGTCATTTTACTATTTTGCATTTAAGTTGTTTGGAAAAAGGTTTCTCACAATCTATTAGCCATTTAAAAAGCCTTGGAATGGGCTTAAATATTTTGAACAGATCTAGACTGTGAAATAAGTCTTCAGTTTTTAGAGCCAAAAATAAAAGATTGAGGGTAAAGGGTAAAGGACAATATGGTTTAGACTTTAAATGGAGAGAGAACAGAGACAAAGAGAAAATGATCTGGCATTATACGCTCACATCAGTGGCAGTAATTAGGCTTTGCAGTATCATTAGATATGATAACAATCATTTGTAGCCTTTTATAGTGTTTCACATGCTAAGCATACAGAACCACATGGTAGCAGGACCCTTAATATTTTTCATTGTTATTTTTTTCTAAGGGAATAATGGTATTCAATTGTCATGAATTGGGGAGATACACAACACAAATTTGGATTCTTATCTCCCATGGAGAAAAGATGGAATGTTTTATGCCTTTTAACCATCTGCAAAATGTATAGCCGTAGTAAAATGCTAACAAGAACTTGAGGTGAATATTTTGAAGGGTATAGCATTTAAATTTATAAAAGTCAGTTTGGCATTATATTAAACATTGAGTTAATGTTCCTACCACCTAACAACTGAACTATGACATATTATACCATATTGTTAAACTTAACCAACAATATTCCAGGTTTCAATTTTGAGAAATCAGTAATTAATCAGTTCAAAATTTTGAATGGTGTGGTTTGTGTAGAGGAAATCTCCTAAATACTTTGAAAATTCTCTATAGTAGAAAATAAGAAATGTCTTAAATAGTTAAACACTATATTTAAGTCAATATAATGGTCAGCCTTAACAGATAATCGTGGTTTTTTTTTCTCTTGAACATTCAAATTAAAGTGAAGATCTGATTTTTATTTAGTTTTCAGGTACTATTAGAAAGTATTATAAGAATTAAATTAGAATTATTGCTGGAGTTAGAGCTCTGAGTCTTTATATGTTCAAGCTAATCATAGTGAATAAGTAATTCCTATTTCAAATTTGATTTCCAAATGTAAATATTCAATATAGTCATATTACTTAGCATAGCTCTATGAATTTTTGCAAACTTACCAGATACCAGTTTTTGCACAATTACTGTAGTTGATTCAATAATTTCAAAGGATATGGAACAGAATGCAGAGTGTTGCACATTTCCTAGAATTTCAATAGATTGAAAAAACTATAAAAGGTGATGTAGCTAATTTTGTCATTCTTAATATAAAGCTATAGTGCAAACTGCCTTGGGTTATGCTTAGGTGAGATTTTTGTTCATCCCATACAACAGTTTTTGTTTTCTGGCTATACTTCTAATTCAGTTCATCTTTCTTTGATGTTTAAGCCAGAAAGCTAGTGTAAAGGTAGAAGATATGCTCTTCTATTACCTGGTTCTTTTAATGATAATATAAATACTACTTTTAGTCACATTTCAAGGTTTTTCTCTACTGATACTGATAACATCTCTAAAAACTTGTAATTAAGTGCCACAAAAATTTCCTCTTCCCACTTGCTAACTGAGCTGACAATTAGTCTCCTCTTTCAAAATAAAGCTTTAACTTTACAGAAGTTAGTCAGAAATAGGTCTAGTACATCCGTTAGAGACTTCTAAATTCAAAATGTAATCTGAAGAGCAGCATGAGCACTTGCTAAAGAAAGAGATGAACTGAAAATGTAGAACACAAAACTAGAAATACGCTTGCTTATATCCATCTGATTGGGACTTCCAGAATTTGGAACATGAAATCTTTACTCCTCGAATGGCTTTCACTTTGCTTAACAGGCACATTACATTCCCACTTCTGATGCTTTGTGATCTGATGCGTTTTAGTTAATTCTTGATATCTCAGAGACTAAGCATATAAATTGAATATCCACATATTCTTTTGTCTTGTTCCCAGTTAAACTTTTTAATATATACTAATTAAACTATAATTGGTTAGGGGGTAAGCAATGTAGTACTGGGGGTGCTGAAAGTAATCTAGATTCCAATGATGGCTATCATGATGGAGAGATGAAGTGGAGATATTTGTGGGGAGAGTAAGCAAGATTTGGAGACCTTGATTGGATGTGTGAGGCAACGTAGACACTGAGTGTCCAGTGCTGTGGAGGAGCGATAAGATTAGTGAGAAGGAGGACAAAGAAGAAGAAACATAGAGAGGGGGAGAGGTAATGGGAGTGAGGGAATGAGTTCAAATTCAGCCTATTGGGTTTGAGGTGCCTCCGCTATATTCAAGTGAAGGTTTCACAACCAATATAATATACAGGCTTGGAATTTAGAAAAGGGGTCTTGGCCAGAGAAATAGATTTGTTATTGATGAGTATAGCAGGGAAGTGAATTATCAAACATGGGAGAAGTTGACCAGATATAGTGTGTATTTTGGGGAAAAAACATCTGAAAGAACATCACCATTAAAAGAATGCATAGAGGAAAAAGAGTATTAAAAAGGAACCAAAATCTCACAGATCACCACTAAAGAACTTATTCATGTAACTACATACCACCTGTTCCCCGAAAACCTATGAAAATAAAATTTTTTAAAAAATGTTTGCAAGTTAAAAAAAAAAAGGAACTGAGGAAAAATGACCTTAGAGGTAGGCTGCCCACTGACTGCAGGGGAACACTGTCTAAACTGAAAGCCCTTTAGATTGCCTCACACTATATTTCTGGATGTATTTTCTGGAAAATGTTTCCTGTCCACTCTTTGCTCCAGTAGAATAAATTCTTTGTTGTTGTTTCCTTCATATGCCATGCACTTTCATTCCTCTGGAGGCTTGCCTAGGATGCTTTTCTTTCTGCTTTCTACTAGCAAAATCTGGATTAATTATGTTTCTTTTAATTATGTTTCATTAATTTATGTTTCTGTCAGTGAAAGAAAGGTCATTGTGGTACATGGTATGAAAAATGAGTATTTTAATATTCAACTTTAAATATTTTAAATATTTGAAAACAAATTTTTCAGAATATCTGAAAATAACCAAGCTATAATATTTCCTTCATTTTCAATTCTTTGTTTTAATTGTGAATTCTTGGTAGCCTGTAAACTCTGTTAGGATCAAGACTTTTGCAGTATCCTCAATTGTAAAATACAGACAATTATATGTATCTCATGGGTTTGTTAGGACTAACAAAAAAGGACAGTATGTGTAAGGACTTAGTGCAGTCTTAATATATATCAGGGGCTCCAAATATAGTAGTTAATAGTGATGATGATGATCTTATCTTTGTAATCTCAGGACTTCAAAAGTTCTCAATAGATTTATGAATTTAAATAGAGAAAAGTACAAATATAATAGATACATGGGATCAATTATTGTAATCCATTCATTATCAGAAAGATGAAAGAATATCTATATTATCTGGATACTTGAAGCATAAGCATTTTTAAAGGCTTTTGGATACTCAGTCAAATATTTATAATTTTTTTCCACTGACTTTTTAAAGTTGGTTCGGGTTTTTATTTTTCAGGTAATTACATCAATAAACTCCAGGCACAGGATTAAAATGATTGATATTGAAAAAAATAGGGGTGTAGATATAGCTGCACTCAAAAAGTCAGTATTTCTATCTTAAATTGTTCTCTGAGTGAAAAAGAAAGCAGATATTTCTATAATATTATTTCCCTCCCAACCTGGCAGCTTGTATTATTTGAATATCTTCCTACATTAAATACATATTTGACAAAAATGAAAAAATGAGAGAAAAGGAAAACTAGTTTAGGAGGCTCCATTGTAATTCAAGTGTGCTTGTTTTAATTCTATGTAATGGACTGTATTTGTGTAATGTTTCTTAATTATGTATTTTTCTACATTGTTATTAGTGAGGTTTCTCACCATTACTCAGGCTATAAGAGTTAGCATACATAGTCATGGTGGATTGATTCTTCCTTAGGTTATTTATTATAAGATGGTGTGCTTGCAGAGCTGATTATTTAAATTGAAAAATCACATTTCCATAACATGCAAAGCAATTTTGCAACAACAACAACAAAAATGTCCTTTTAAAAAATTCCTCCAATTTAGATTCCAAGTTTATCTTGAAAAAAGTCTGTTAGACCAAATTTTCATTGAATATAAGAGCTGGTGAACCTGCCTCTGTACTGGCGTGTTAAAATTAGAAAAAAAATTAAAGCCAATTTGTCTTGATAGCTTTGAAGAGAGAAATCTGATAAAAGCCTTTTAGCAAAGAAGAATGCTCTTTAATAAAGAGCATTTAGCTTGCATAGTTTTATAATTACTGGTAGAAATTAGGAGGAAAGAGAGTATACTGCTCAGAATTTGTTATGGCTCTGTGATCCCCGGATTCTCCTGGAAGAGGTTACTTATGAAAACTCATATTTGCCCCAGCAAATCTACTATTATAACATCTGAACACAAGCCTCAGGCACTCTGTTGTTAACTAAACTGAAAGTGCCATTGTGATTCCAGCTGTAATCACACTGGAATATGGAGCAAAATTAACTGCAGCTGATCCAAGATGAGCCATAAGAAAAAGCAAGTGATGGAAAATAAGAGGCCTGTGTAGTTATGCATGTGACGCATATTCTCACATACAATGGAGGAGCCTATCCCTAGTCCCATCTATAGAAAATCAAATAAGGTTCTGAAATCTGGCTCTATCAGCCATGTTCCCGTGCAACACAAGCCAACCAGTTAGCCTTAGAAACTGCCTTGCTAGATAGTTTAATGCTTTACTTTTTTATTAACCCCAAAGACTATATATTATTCCAAAAAACAGGATAGGGAGAAGGTTTCTTACCTATTATGCTGACGGGCTTTTTATACCTGTGAATAAGTTTTGCCTAACAAATACTTATCATATATTTAGCAAATGTATGACATCCTCCTATTCATTTATTTGGTATTTTAATGCCACACTCTTTCCCAACTTCACACACACATACACAAATGTAGAATAGCACGCACACAGAGTAACAATAACTTTTAAGCATAAAAATATATGTTTTTTACATATATTTTAAATTGTAGCTGTCTTAGTCTATTCAGGCTGCTATAACAAAATGCCATAGACTGGGTATTTTATAAACACCAGAAATTTATTTCTCGCTTTCTGGACATAGGGAAGTCCAAGACCAAGGTGCCAGCAGACTCAATATCTGGTGAGGGTCCATTTTCTGGTTCATAGATGTCTCCCTCATGCTGCATTTCACAAGGTGGAGGAGGCAGAGAAGCTCTCTGAGGCCTCTTTTATAAGGGCATTAATTCCATTCATGAGAGCTCTAACCACTTATGACTTCATTACCTCCCAAAGAGACTTCACCAGAATCTCCCTACTGTTCATATTTTTAGCATGACCTTCAAAATCCATCCAGCCTCTACCTGTTGCCCAGTTCTCAAGCTACCTCCACACATTGAGGTATTTGTCACATCATAGTTGGAATTTGTTTCCTGTTTGTTTCACTTTAGTTTTCTCTTTCCTCTATTAGGAAAACTGAAACTTTATTTCATTCACCGTTTTATGGTCGGAATAGTGCTTGGTAGACAATTGGTTCAACAAATTTTTATTAAATGTATTATTGACAAATGATTTTGCCTTTCAGTTATGTTTGAGTAACCTTTCAGTAGAATCCATTGGTTCCATGTCTGCAGATGCTAATGGTATATCTTTGAGGATGAGTCACCTTTGAGAGAAAGTGAAAATATGTAACAGACACTAGAGAGTAGACTCCTTCAGATCTGTGTTAGCCATACCACCATGGAGAACCCCTACATATAGTTAGCCTTCTTTTTTAAGTATGCAATTGGATCAATAAAATTAAGTTTGCAGCTCAAGATAATTAGAACACTTGCCTGAAGTACTTAACTTAGTAATAGGAGAGAGTCTACTGGAATTCTGACATAGGGACAATGTTTATTCATCTTTTTAAACATTTCGTTAATTGACAAAGTAATTTTATAAATTTACTATGTAGAACATGTTTTGAAGTGTGTATACATTGTGGAATGGCAAATAAAAGATAATTTGCTATGCATTTCCTCACATACCTATTTTTTCTTGGTGAGAATCCTGAAGATCTGCTTTCTTAACAATTTTTAAGGATACAATACATTGTTATTGACTGTAGTCACCATGTTGTACAATGGATGTCTTGGAGTTATTCTTTATATCTAACTGAAATTTTGTATTATTTGACTGACACCTTCTAGCCCCTGGTAACCACCATACTGTTTTTTTTTTCTCCTTGTTTTTGAGATGGAGTCTTGCTGTGCCACCCAGGCTGGAGTGCAGTGGTGTGATCTTGGCTCACTGCAACCTCCACCTCCTGGGTTCAAGCAATTCTCCTGCCTCAGTCTCCCGAGTATCTGGGACTACAGGTGTGCACCATCACGCCCAGCTAATTTTTTATATTTTTAGTATAGATGAGGTTTCACCATATTGGCCAGGCTAGTCTTGAACTCCTGACCTCACGTTCCACCTGCCTCAGCCTCCCAAAGTGCCAAGATTATAGGCGTGAGCCACCATGCCCAGCCTGCTGCACTTGTTTTAATGTGCTGCCTTTTAATCTTCGTTTTCACTGTTTGGTCACAAGGTGGCTGACACAGCTCCTGGAATCACGTGCACATTTTAAGTGAGGAAGAAAGAGATGGTGTCAACAATTTTCTTCTTATATCTCTCCTTCAGGTAAATGAGGATGAAAAGGTTTTCTCCAGAAACGTCACCAAAAACAGATTTTCACTTATGTTTCACAGACCAGGATAGGTCATGTGGCTACATTTAATTGCAAAGAAGCCTGAAAAAAAGAAAGAGGAATATAAACAAAATAGAATGTATAGTAACAGGTTTAAGCAAAGAATGATTCTACTTTTAAAGTTGTGGGAAAAAACTACCTCTCCCAAAGGAATAGTCTCTCTGTCCACTGTTTTTCAAAAAATTGGGGTTCTGTTGGGAAGGAAGCAGGGAAGAAATATTGAAGAGGCTTTATTTTCTTCTTAGATTCCTGTCATTTCATAGATTAAGAAAAACTGTAAAAATTATCAGAACTGAAATATAAACCCACATTATTTAAGAAAAAATAATGGACAAATGATTTAGAGTTAATATTGTCTGGAAGGACATTTTGGAGGACTGATGATTAGTGGAGAAATGATTAAAAGATAAGTTGATTACTTTTATTTATTTTAACATTAAATAAATATAGAATTATATATCGCATGGAGTAACTGTTTGCATTTGAGTTTTAATAAAAAATTGTCAAGATTTTTTGAATAAAGCCATATCCCTTGACTAATTATGGCATATAAGTGTTGTAATACCTTTGTGGTTTCCAAAATGTGCGTTCATAGACCCTTGAGGGCTCCCTATAACTCTTTTATGGAGTAGGTGAAAATAAAAATATTTTCATAATAATATTTAAATGATATTGTATATCCACAATACAATGTTTTTTTTTTCTATGTTGATATTTGCACTGATGATGCAATAGTAGTGGAGAATAAACTTATGGCACCTTAGCAAAAATCAAGGCAGTAACAGCAAACTGTACTAGTAGCACAGGGTGAAACACAGTAGTTCAGTAGTGCCCTTTCCTGCCACTCACTCAAAGAAAAACAAAATGTCTGTTTCACTTAAGAATGTCTTTGATTGTGTGGTAAAAATTATTAATTTTATTAAATCTCAACCCCTGAGTACACATTTTCTTTTAAATTTAGTCGTGATAAACTACATGTAACATAAAGTTTAGCATCTTAACTATTTCTAGGTATATGATTTAGTGGCATTTAGTACATTAACATTGTTGTACTACAATCACCACAGTTCACCTCCAGAATTCTTTTCATTTGGCAAAATTAAAACTTTGCCCAGTAAACAACTACTCCTCCTTCTCTCCTCCCTGATCCCTTGGCAACCACCATTCTACTTTCTGTCTCTATGAATCTGACTACTCTAGGAACTTTGTAAGTGGAATCATATAGTGTTTGTCCCTTTGTGACTGGCTTACTTCATTGATCATAGTATCTTCAAGATCCATCCACGGAGCAGCATATGTCAGAATTTCCTTCCTTTTTGAGGCTGAATAACATTCCATTGTATGTACACACCACATTTCATTTATGCACTTACTCATCGATGACCACTTAACATTGCTTCTACCTCTTGGCTTTTGCAAATGACACTGCCATAAATGTGGGTATATAAATATCTCTTTGAGTCCCTGCTTTCAATTCTTTTGGTTGTATACCCAAAAGTGGAATTGTTATGCTCCTATGAGAATTCTGTTTTTAAATTTTCTGAGGGACTGCCATATTGTTTTCTATGGCAGGTGTAGTACAATTACATTTACCTTCCCAGTGGTAATGTACAAGAGTTTTAACTTGTCCATATCCTTACCAATATTATTTTGTTGCTGTAGCTATCATAATGGGTATGAGGATGTATTTCATTGTGGGGTTCATTTGCATTTCCCTAGTAACAAATGATGTTAAGTATTTTTCCATGTGTTTATTGGCTATTTACATATCTGTTTTGGATAAATGTCTATTTAAATCTGCTTTTTGTTGTTGTTGGGTTTTAGGAGATCTTGATAGATACTGGATATTAACAACTTATTAGATATGTGATTTGCAAATATTTCCTCCCATTCTGTGCATTGTCTTTTCACTCTGTTGTTTGTATTCTTTAATACATAGATATTTTCAATTTTGATGTTGTCTAATTTATCTGTTTTTTCTTTTGTTGTGTATGCTTTATGTGTCATATCTGATAAATCATTACCAAATCCACTGTCATAAATCTTTTGCCCTATGTTTTCTTTTAATATTTTTAGAGTTTTAGCCCTTACATTTAGGGTTCATTCCCCTTTGGCTTATTTTTTGTATGTGGTGTAAGATATGGATCCAATCTCATTATTTTATATGTTGACTTGAGCACACGTTTTTCTTCTGAGAATAAATACCCTGTGAATAAAATAGGAAGTATCAATGATGCATTTTGACTGAGTAGGACTGCTGTCTTCACATTGGTGTGATTATCTAAGTTACAAGCTGAACTAACCACCTTTTTGTAGAATATGTTATGTTTTTTATTTGAAAGAATGACTAACAAGAATACTCATTATTCAGATGTAGATATTGGCAGTGATTAAATAAATAAATGATTTTACCACTTTAATGTAAATAATTCAGTCATTAATATCTTATCAAAGATAAATTTCAAACTCTCAAGGGATAATAAAATTTTTTGGAAAATTTAAGTGTTCGTCATTTATCATCTATAAGTGCAACAGCTTTCCAGCCTGACTTTTCTTATTAGATTAGTGGTGATATTAACAAATGTAAATTTCCTGATATTGTATTTTAAATGTGTCAACACTTGGAAAATATTTTTACATCAATAAAGCAAAATTTCTTAATAATCAACAATTAAATGATGTTACATAATTATACATAAATTAAAATTCATTTTATGTGCAAGTTAGACAAATGATTTTTAATGTAACAAAATACAAAAATTCAGTAGCAGGATTTTAGATTCCATATTGCAATTAATCTTTAGGAATTATTACTTGCGAGTTTTGGTGTAGTACCAGAGAAGTATATCTATAATTATCTGAAAAGACTATAAAAATATTCCTGTCATTTACAACTACACATCTATGTAAGGCTTGATTTCTATCATTTCCTTAAACCATAATAACATATTACAACAGATTGAATGCAGACAGAAGCAGATATGAGAATCTACCATCTTATATTAAGCAAGACATTAAAGTGATTTGAGAATAGAAAACAATGCCAATGGGTTATTGTTACCATGCCCTCTCAGTGGGCACACCTAGAAAAACATATATATTATATATATTCTTTATATGTGAGCATTATGTATACATAAAGAGTCAAATATCATATATCTATGATGTTTCTGTATGTATCTACAATATATGTGTATTATAAAATCATGAATTTATACCAATAACTCATATTCCACTACAGCATTTGGTTGGGGGCTTTTTTAGTCTTCTCTCTTTCTATGTTTATGAATAACTTCTCTGCTAATGAGAACCTTGAGTCTCTTTATCTATTTGCTCAGTGTAACCTGTCTCTCAACCATACTGACCATGTTCTCCCTGTAACCTTATCTACCCTATCCTCCAAACTACCTTCATCCAGTTCCCCAATTCTCACCATCATGTGTCTTTGGCCTTTGGTCCTGCAGCTGCACGCTATGAAGTATGGTATCTTTAGTTAGGAAGAAGTGTAATAGTGGCATAGTGCATGACTCAGTATATTCAGAAATTGAAGAAATATTAAGAAAAAGTTTGGCAAATAAAATGGTTTCATGATATTTTGTTCAGTAAGTAATATGAAAATAGATACCAACTTGCAAAATAAAACATAATTTCAGTGTGGAAAAAATGGAAAATGTTGCAGGGTATAAAACATTTGAACAGTTTATAGCTCTGAATTTGATACATCCTAAAACAATTACAACTTTAGGTTAGGCAAAGAGTTCTTAGATACGACACCATAGCATACTGCAAAATTGGACTGTGGTGATGGTTGAATAACTGCAAAGTTACTAAAAATCATTGAATTGTACTCTTAAAGCAGGATAATTTTATGGTATGTGTATCTTTAAAAAGCTGTTAAAAATTACAATCCATTGCAAAATAAAATTTAGACTTTAGGATGATTTAAAAAACTTCCTCAGAGATTTTAGGAACTGCCGTGAGAAATTTAACAGATTCCAGCCACCACTGGAAGCAGCTTAATAGGAAAGATGCCTGTGTGGCTTTTCCTGGACATATGAGCCAGCTTCATTTGGTTTATCCTTTTAGGAATTTTGGTTGGGATGCAGATACATTAACTGAACTCATATCTACTGAGTGCCTACTATGCAACCAGGCTCTGAAGTAGATGCTAGGGAGTCAGCAATTAACGAGACAGATTAGTTCAATGGTCCTTTCTCAAAGCATTTTCCCTCTGGTGAGAGATACAGGCAATAAACAAATACACAAATAAGGCAAATAAACAATGCAAATAAACAAACTATAGTTTCCAATAGTTATAACTGTTAAGAAATAAAACAAAGGAAAGTCATAGAAAATGGAAACGTTGAATAGGGGATCAGGAAAACACTTTCCATGGGGATGAGTTTGTCCTGGAACCCGAGTTTTATAAAGGATCCAGCTCATGAATATTGCGGGTACTGTGAGTGAGGGAGTGTTCTCCGTAAAGTCATGAATAAGCAACATGACTAAGGAGGAAAGAGTTTGGTGGGGGACATCAGGGACACCTAGTCTGCAAGTAGCAGAAAACTTGGCCAAGTAGCTTAATCAAACCTATATTTACTTTCTGACTTAACACAAAGTTTGGGGTAGACAGATTTAGCAATAATTTGTTGGTTCAGTGTTATCAGAACCATGTGTCTGTGATTCTACTGAACACTGGTGTGCTGCAGCCATCCTATGAGAGCCAGTTGTTAAATTTCCGGGAATTTGTGAATTGGTTGTGCAACACAGCCTTTATTAAAACTTAAATTTTATGAACTAACAAGATATGTTAAGAATAAAGGTAATAAATACTGAAAACTCATCATTTCTTAATTATTGTTCTACATTTCATTGTTATGTATGCCCCTGAGATGATTTCTATCTGTTGGAACTGTGTGGTGGAAACACTGTATCATAGTGTGTTTATTGCATGCAGCTCTTCCTAACTTGATGCCGTTATGTCAAATTGCTGGCATTGAAAAGACCATGGTGAAGATATTTACACCAAGTAAGTCACCAAATACTGCATATAAGGTCCCTCAGAAAAAGTAATTGTTAATAATGCCGCAATAAACATACGTGTGCATGTGTCTTTATAGCAGCATGATTTATAGTCCTTTGGGTGTATACCCAGTAATGGGATGGCTGGGTCAAATGGTATTTCTAGTTCTAGATCCGTGAGGAATCGCCACACTGATTGCAGCATTATTCACAATAGCAAAGACTTGGAGCCAACCCAAATGTCCAACAATGATAGACTGGATTAAGAAAATGTGGCACATATACACCATGGAATACTATGCAGCCATAAAAAATGATGAGTTCATGTCCTTTGTAGGGACATGGATGAAACTGGAAATCATCATTCTCAGTAAACTATCGCAAGAACAAAAAACCAAACACCGCATATTCTCACTCATAGGTGGGAATTGGACAATGAGATCACATGGACACAGGAAGGGGAACATCACACTCTGGGGACTGTTGTGGGGTGGGGGGAGGGGGGAGGGATAGCATTGGGAGATATACCTAATGCTAGATGACGAGTTAGTGGGTGCAGTGCACCAGCATGGCACATGTATACATATGTAACTAACCTGCACAATGTGCACATGTACCTTAAAACTTAAAGTATAATAAAAAAATAAAAATAAATAAAAAAAATTAAAAAAAGTAATTGTTAAACATTTAATAGCGCACTGTCGCTCTTGTGGCTTTTCCTCTATGGCAGCAAAATGTCAGCTGCAGCTCTAGTTCTGACTTTCATAGGGTTGAAGAAAGACTGAAGGGTTAGGGGTGGGGTGGAATGAGAGAGAGACAGGGATTAAGGCAGCGACTCCTAAATTAGAAAAGCAAAAGCAAAAGTGTCTCAGACCACTTCTGGAAGACGATATTGGGGAGAAGGGAGCTGGAAGTGTGGGTTAGCTAGGCCATTCAAGGGTTGCCCTAGTTTTGAGGAATACCGAGGACTGTGTGACTGGAGCATAGGAAATGAGAAATTGATGGGTGAAGGGTACAGATGGAGAAGTAAGACAAACATGATTAGAGAGTAGATGGTATTTTGTAACCTGCCCTTCCACTTAATATATCTTTTTACTTTATTAAGTATTCTACAACGCAATTTTGGAGACTTCAGAGTATTCCATTATTGAAATCATTCTCTAAAGGGAATTCACTTAATGACTTAGCATATCGTAATCTTATTTAGTTTTCAGTATTTGCCATTCTTGGTCAACAGCCCAGGCCATGTTTACTTGTTTTTCATGGGGATAAGAAAGGGACAGGACATAATCTAGTTAAAAGTAGAAATTGGAAGTACTGTCAGGGGAAAATTTGCTATTTTCAGGTTTTTTGATTATGGTATTTCATCTGGTAAAGTATAAGGAAAAAAGTAGAAAATAAAAGACAAATTTGACACCTTAGCCTTAAGCCTCTGCATTGAAATACAAGGGAAATATTGTTCATATGTCAAGGGAAATAGGTTACAAGCTGAAGCATGCAAACCTCTTCACACAATCAAACGTACTGCCCAAAAGGAATTAATGGTATTCTACTTATTTTCATTGAAATAAGGTTAGAGACTCCAGTTCTGTTAAAAATTTAGCAACTGAATGCCCAATTGAATTAATTGAACACTCTGGGAAAGAGAATTCTAGTTATTGCTTTTCTATTTTTCTAAACTTGTTGCTATTAAATCACAATAGGCACTTAAAGCCTGTGAAAGCATTGGCTATGGCACGAAAGTCCCCTAAGCTGCTTGGTTTCTGGGTGAACTTATTATGAGGAAAGGTCTTTGACTTAGCAACATTTAAAAGTTAGAGACTCCATCAATTTTAGAGCTTTTAGTTTCTGAAGAAAAATGAAAATAAATGAAGATTTTAACATGAAAAATATGCGATCTTTTTGTTTCAGAGTACATTTTTTTTCTTTTTCTATAAGATTTATTTAAGAATTAAGTGCTGTCAAACCTGTCTGGGGAGCAAAGATAATTTTTAGCCTAAAAGAAGACTGATCTTAAATGCAAACCAGAGGGATAATGGGACATTGAAAATCAAAATGAAGGGAAACGTTGCTAATCTCTTTCCATTGAGAAAGAGTGCAATTTAAATTAAGGAAGCAAGGCTTTTCCCTCCTTTTCAATGCGATGTCGAAGTAGGGCAGGCTCTTCATATCAGACAAGAAATGTGCTGGAGTAAAGATTTTCTCCCCTCTTGCCATCAACAAGTTGCCTGAAATAAATACTCTATTTTAAAAAGAAATTTGACTGATAGCTCCCGTTTGCCTTTCAAATTATTATTTCATTTTTGTTTCCTATAGTTCAGCAATTTCTTTCAGAGAGCTACATTTCTGATCAGAAAGGGAAACTTAAAATGGAATCAAATAGTAAAAGAATGGTAGAGAAAGTTCTGTACACATCATTTCAAATGTCAGAATTACAGATGATGTGTTAACCTGTGACATGTTATTCTGTTCTTACATTTTTTGATAAGTCAGGAATTCTAAGAATAATAAAACTGTGAAAAGCATAGATATTATTTCCTGTGAGAGCCTCTTTCCGTCTACCTACTTGCACTCCAAAGAACATGAAGAACCCCAGAAACTGCTGCCTTTTTGAAAAACACTTGAGATTTCTTCTGAAAGCAAAAGATTGGCTGTATTTTGAATTCCTTACATTTACTTCCCCAAGTAATTTATTAAATGCTTAAATGTGTCAGCTATTCCCCCAAGTTTTTCATTGGTATTGCCTTATTTAATCTTCACAACAACCTTATGATATAGTAACATTATCTCCTTTTCACAGATGAAGAAATTGGGGCTTGGGAAGATTTAGTAATGTTGCACAGCCAATAAACAGTGGAATTACAGAAGCGCTCATCCTTTTAATCATCGCAATTTGGTTTTCCCAATCATTTAATTGTCAAAAATTAGAGTAAAAAAACAGCTGTATTACAATAAATAGTAAATGCTTTACCTCTCACCATCTGAGCCCTTCTTTCATAACTTCATATGGCAAGAAGGAATTGGGGATGGATGTACCTAGGTATTCATACTATAGATTCATGAGTTCTTACCAGTAATTGGTAGAATAGAGAAGATGCAAAACTGATGGAGGAAAAAAAGCTAGAAGAAACACCAGGAAAAATATTGGACTACCTGAATTTTAATGGTTATAGACATTTTGAAAACTACCCACAGATAATTTTCAAAAAGCCTATATCTTAGAAGAAGCAATGAATATGAGTATGTATTATCTATGGATGCTGCTATTTAAAAATGTCAAAACCACTCATCACTCATTTCTAGATTCTAAAATTCCTGGAAATCCTTCTGTTAAGAAATTAGATGATTCCAGCTAGTTTGGATTTTTTTTTTAATCACCTTAGAGGTTGTACATATTGAACTGGTTGAACGAGAGTCAAAAATAATCTACATTCTTAAGAAAGTTTTGAATGCCAGAATATACTTATAGAAATAACTCCTTGAATTCTAAGACAGACTAGAGACCAAACATTTTTCAGTTTGGGACAAATGGGCCATAACAGCAAATTGGGTTAGGGTGACTTGAGGAAATGGCTGTAGAACATAGTGGATGAATTAAAATTTCTGCTCTGACCTGCAGATCTTTGTGAAAGTAGATGATGTAATTTTGGGGGAAGTATCCTCTGGCAGTATATAGATCAGGTTTTTGACATGTAATTTAATTATTTTTAATTGAGAGATTTCCAAAATTTTAATTTTTTGCTTGGAATAAAACTTTATTTCTATTTTATATTTCTCTATTTTAAATTTGCCCTATTAATTTTTATAATTTGAGACTAGATGCAAATTAATAAGATGCATTAGACAATTTAAATTTTTTTCTGGAGACTTTGCGAAAGGTAGAAGAAATACATTATTGCAGAAATACTAGATATATAGCATTTACAGCTAAAAGAAGATAAATTTTCCACCAAGATTAACAGATGAAAACTGCTTTTTATTTTGTTGAAATTTTCAGTATATTTAGTTTTTTTCCTGAATTCTCTGATTTCATGAAATAGTTATCTCTCCACTTCCTGACATCACGTGGCACACAAAGCCAGAACTTACCCAATGGGAGGAGTCCATCTCATTGAAATTCTCTCTTACTAACTTAATCTATCCGAGTAAGGGGAAGTTACTGTATACTAAAATAACCAATGCCCCATGTCCTTCTGTAAAATTATCAGTTATTTTTTCATCATTCTTTTCCTTGAAAAACTTCACTATTCCTTAAAATCCTAATATCTTCTATGACCTGTTTAATTAATCAATAATATAAATATGTTTTTCAACTGTCAGTTTTGTCTTTTTGGTTTTGTTTTTACTTAATCATACATTTGTATATTCTTAGTTCTAATGAGTTCTTATAGTAAATAAGAGTAACCTATTATTTTATTGCTTATATTGGTAGAGAATTTCTGATTTCTGTGAGGAAAGCCATACATATATGCAAGAAGTAGATCAAATATAAAAACTTAGACTATACATGAAAATAAAACAATGTGGCAGTATTTTGGAGTGAATATTCTCAGAGATTAGTGAATTTAAATGATTGTTCAGATAAAATGCAATTGACCTTAATTAAATCAAGAACTGGTACTATAAAATGCAGAAGACTGGACATTCATGTTAGGGTATACATAGTTATAATCTGAGATAAAAATCCTGAAATGTCATTAAAATATATTTTAAGTGATCAAAAACATTTGCTTACTGTAATGAAATTAAAAGCTTAATCAATCTGTGGGAAGGTAAATGGGACCACCATAGTTAAATTATATTGACCATAATTCATTCCAGGCTTAGGCTGGTATCTCTCTCTCCTGAAACACATGGTCAAATGGAAGAGAGTAAATTTCTGTTAAGGAGGAAAAGGAAAAAGGCTCTTAGGTGAACAACTAGCAGTATCTGTTTCAAAGAGCATGAGCCAGAGACAAGATGAAAAGTTCATGTGCTATTGGATTGTATAGAAGTTGCCTTAGTACCAATAAAGTTTCTATTTTCCTCTTTTGTACACACACACACAAACACACACAAACATAAAGTTTATGTGTGTTGTAAATATCCACTAAAGATAATTTTAAAATATTCTTTCAGTGGGTGCATACATCCATCCATTGTTCTTTTTAAACATGTTTCAATGAGCAAGTTTGGGATTTATTCAATGGTGGCCCATCAGTACAAGGTCTGCTTACTCAAGAGTGAAGGAACTCTTGTCCCTTAATGGTATTAAGACTCTGCTAACTCCCAAAGATCTCCAGGAAGATCTCATTCTGCATCCAGTGTTTACCACGGAGGATTGGTAAATAGAATTACAAAGGTCTTGACACTGAAGACATCAACTATTCTACTTTATCTCTAGTTTTCTTCAGACTCAGTATAAAAATAGAAAGATTGCATTTTAGGAAAATATCTGACTTTTCTTCTCCATTTATCTGATAAGACCTCACTGAATGCATTTTACTCCAATGCACTGTTAAAATAGTGTCAATTTTATTTCATACTTCACATACCTGACTTTATTTTATAGGTGGAGTTTTTCTCTAGAATGGTTGAACTACTCTTTGGAGTCATACAGGGTAAAATTCCAGACCCACGCTGTCCTGTGTGCTTGTGCCTCCATTAGAGACAATCATGCTGAGCCATAATTTCGACTAACATTGTTGGCTTGATGACATGCAGGTTGACTTTTTCATCTTAACGGATCTGGGGGAAGGGAGAAGAGAAGCAATTTGGGGTTTGATGAGGTACCTAGCTGACACTTAGGCCTGGATTTCTAAAATGTCCTGAAGCTAATTTCAGAAGAAGTGGAGTTGATTTTTGGTAGGTCCCTGCTGCCTTTTGAATGGCACTTTATCCGTGGCTATTGGTTTTGATAGGACTATTATATAACCTGTTATTATTAAGTTCTGTAACCTTGGGCTGTCTGTGATTGTGAACTTTCTTTTGATAACTGGTTCAGATGCTTTTTACTATTTTGGTTCTGGAGCAGACTCAGGAAAATGCTGTTCACAAAGTTTTGCTTTATCAATTTGCACTAACTGATTTGAACTGCAATTAAAATTTATTTGGACGTGGAAGAGGCTTGCACATTCCTAAATGTCCAGTTAAGGGCCTTTATTAACGATTAAAATGTCATAGGATGCTGAGAGCAAACAAGCAGAAGATGAATATATCCCCTCCTGGTAACATATTCTTCACCTTCCTATCTGATCATATAGATTAATGTGTTGGTTTGTGAAAGGGTTGAAATTGGATAAACTCTGAAAGGCTGAGTTGAGGAGAAAAGGATTTCTTGGAATCCATCTGTCTTCATAAAAAATGTTGACTTTTGGCTGGGCGCGGTGGCTCAGGCCTGTAATCCCAGCACTTTGGGAGGCCGAGGCGGGCGGATCACGAGGTCAGGAGATCGAGACCATCCTGGCTAACGCGGTGAAATCCCGTCTCTACTAAAAATACAAAAAATTAGCTGGGCGTGGTGGCGGGCGCCTGTAGTCCCAGCTACTCGGGAGGCTTAGGCAGGAGAATGGCATGAACCTGGGAGGCAGAGCTTGCAGTGAGCCGAGATCACACCACTGCACTCCAGCCTGGGCGACAGAGCTAGACTCCGTCTCAAAAAAAAAAAAAAAAAAAAAAAAAAAAAGTTGACTTTTGAGACATGCTGAGGTGTAGCATTATCTGTTTTGCAGGTGGCTCAGAGGCTGCAAGAGAACATTAAAATCTCTAAGGTTACCCCAGTCCAGATTGATCTTTGCTTTCATTTAAGTTACCCTTGGATCACAACTACAATATATGCAATAGTAACAGGGGAGTCACAATATAATATGGAAAATCTAGTTGAAATAAAAGTAAGTTAACTGTAAATTAAAGAAATATAAATATTAAATATAAAATGCCTAAAATTTCTCTTACCCAGTTAGCGAAAATTTAGAGTAGGTGGGAAATGAGGAAGTTCTGTATATGTGATCTGGCAGCCAGAGAAATTTTGCTACAGCTGAGTTGTAGAGTGACCATGAACTAGAAAAATTGGCAACATGTAAAATAGTGGCAAGATATTCTGAATTAAATAGAAAGTGATAATAATAACACATGGAAAAGGGTAAAGCTGGCCTGCATGTGAAGGAGGAATTATGGCTTTTACTTTGTGCTTCAAAGCTTTTGATGAACAAGTAAAATAAATGTTCAGGGCTAAAGCCTACAAGTCTGAAAAGGATTATGTCAAAAAAATAATAGATACTTTATCATTTTGGAAAATATGAGAAATAAATATGATTTCAAAGTTAGACATTTTGAGGAATGAAGGAAAATCATTCTAAAGACAAGAATTATTCTTTAAGAGAAATTTGTTTGCATAAGACACTTTATTGAGGATTTAACATGTTAGCACAGCATTGTATGTATGTATTAGTTTGTCAGAATGCCTTTAGCTACAAGTAATATAAAAGTCAATTTAAACTGACTTTTAAAATAAAGACATTTATTGTTTCACAAAATTGGTAGTCCACTGTTAGGGCTTTCTAAATGTTCTAATTAGTGACATAACTCCATTTTTCCTCTTAGATATTCTTTAAATTCTAAGAGGGCAGGAAGACGGATTTAGTTAATCTGGCCTCACATTCATACATAAGAAAGCTCATAGGAGAAAAGCTATCACCTTTTTAAGATCGTGGCTGGGTGCAGTGGCTCACACCTGTAATTCCAGCGCTTTGGTAGGCTGAGGTGGGCAAGTCATGAGGTCAGGAGATCGAGACCATCCTGGTTAACATGGTGAAATCCCATCTCTACTAAAAATACAAAAACAAAATTAGCCAGGTGTGGTGGCGAGCACCTGTAGTTCCAGCTACTTGGGAGGCTGAGGCAGGAGAATGGCGTGAACCTGGGAGGCGGAGCTTGCAGTGAGCGGAGATCATGCCACTGCACTCCAGTGTGGGTGACAGAGCAAGACTCCATCTCAAAATAAATAAATAAAATAAAATAAAATAAGATCTAGGTTTCTAAGTCTCTAGAAAACTTCCTTTCAGGTCACTCTGGACACAAACGCACATAAATGTCCCAAATGGTGCAGGATAGGATTAACACGAAGTCAATCAGGTCTACCGTAGTGTAGTGCTGAAATCCCTAGGCTCACATGTGAAAGATCATCAATAAACAAATTAATAGTAATTTGGAACAGTTAGATTCTGCTGTGATAATAAAAGACCCTGAAATTTCAAGAGCTTAAAGCAGCAAAGGCATATTTCTCACTTGCTAGTTCCACTAGTTTTTTATTTCCATAGATTATTGGGAGACAGGTGGTGTTTTGTTACATGAGGAAGTTCTTTCGTGGTGATTTGTGAGATTTTGGTGCACGCATCACCCAAGCAGTGTACACTGCATCCTATTTGTAGTATTTTATCCCTCGCCTCCTTCCCACCCTTTCCTCATGAGTCCCTAAAGTCCACTGTGTCATTCTTATGCTTTTACCGCCACATAGCTTAGCTCCCACTTATGAGTGATAACGTACGATGTTTGGTTTTACATTCCTGGGTCAGTTCATTTAGAATAATAGTCTCCAATCTCATCCTGGTCACTGCAAATGCCATTAATTCGTTCCTTTTTATGGCTGAGTAGTATTCCATTATATATATATATGTATATATATATATATATATATGTATATATATATATATATATATGTATATATATATATATATATATGTATATATATATATAAAACTTCCTTTCAGGTCACTCTGGACACAACTGCACATAAATGCCCCAAATGGGTACATATATATATATATATATATATATATATATATATATATATATGCATCTCACAGTTTCTTTATGCACTTGTTGATTGATGGGCGTTTGGTTCTGTTTTTGTAATTGCAAATTGTGCTTCTGTAAACGTGCATGTGCATATATCCTTTTCATATAATGACTTCTTTTCCTCTGGGTAGATACCCAGTAGTGGGATCGCTGGATCAAATGGTAGATGTACTTTTAGTTCTTTAAGGAATCTCCACACTATTTTCCATAGTGGTTGTACTAGTTTACATTTCCACCAGCAGTGTAGAAGTATTCCCTGTTTACCGTATGCAGGCCAACATCTAATATATATATATATATATATATATATATATATATATATATATATATATATTTTTTTTATTATGGCCATTCTTGCAGGGGTAAGGTGGTATTGCATTGTGGTTTTGAGTTGCATTTCCCTCATCATTAGTGATGTTGAGCAGTTTTTCATAAGTTTGTTGGCCATTTGTATATCTTCTTTTGCAAATTGTCCATTCATGACCTTAGCCCACTTTTTGATGGGATTATTTGTTTTTTTCTTGTTGATTTGTTTGAGTTCGTTGTAGATTCTGGATATTGGTCCTTTGTCAGATGTATAGATTATGAAGATTTTCTCCCACTCTGTGGGTTGTGTGTTTACTTTGCTGACTGTTCCTTTTACTGTACAAAAGCTCTTTAGTTTAATTAAGTTCCAGCTATTTATCTTTGTTTTTATTGCATTTGCTTTTGAGTTTTTGGTCATGAAATCCTTGCCTAAGCCAATGTCTAGAAGGGTTTTTCCAATGTTATAATCTAGAATTTTTATAGTTTCAGGTCTCAGATTTAAGTCCTTAATCCATCTTGAGTTGATTTTTTTATAAGGTGAGTGATGAGGATCCAGTTTCATTCTGCTACCTGTGGTTAGTCAATTATCCCAGTACCATTTGCTGAAAAGGGTGTCCTTTCCCCACTTTAAGTTTTTGTTTGCTTTGTCAAAGATCAGTTGGCTGTAAGTATTTGGGTACATGTCTGGGTTCTCTATTCTGTTCCATTGGTCTATGTGAGTATTTTTATACCAGTACCATGCTGTTTTGGTGTCTATGACCTTATAGTTTGAAATCCGGTAATGTGATGCCTCCAGATTTGTTCTTTTTGCTTAGTCTTGCTTTGGCTATGTGAGCTCTTTTTTTGTTCCACATGAATTTTAGAATTGTTTTTTCTAAGTCTGTGAAAAATGACGGTGGTATTTTGATGGGAATTGCATTGAATTTGTAGATTGCTTTTGGCAGTATGGTCATTTTCACAATATTAATTCTACACATCTGTGAGCATGGGATGTGTTTTTATTCGTTTGTGTTGTCTATAATTTCCTTCAGCAGTGTTTTGCAGTTTCCCTGGTAGAGGTTTTTTTTACCTCCTTGGTTAGATATATTCCTAAGTATTTTATTTTTTGGCAGCTATTGTAAAAGTGGTTGAGTTCTTGATTTGATTCTCAGCTTGGTCACTGTTGGTGTATAGAAGAGCAACTGATTTGTGTACATTAATTTTGTATCCAGAAACTTTGCTGAATTCATTTACCAGTTTTAGGAGCTTTCTGGATGAATCTTTAGGGTTTTCTAGGTATAAAATCATATCATCATCAAAGAGTGACAGTTTGACTTCTTCTTTACTGATTTTGAGATCCTTTATTTTTTTCTCCTGTCTGATTGTTCTGGCTAGGACTTCCAGTACTGTGTTGAAGAGGAGTGTGAGAGTGGGCATCCTTGTCTTGTTTCAGTTTCTTAGAGGGAATGCTTTAAACTTTTACCTATTTGGTATTATGTTGGCTGTGTGTTTGTCATAGATGGCTTTTATTATATTGAAGTATGTCCTTTGTATGCTGGTTTTGCTGAGAGTTTTAATCATAAAGCGATGCTGGATTTTGTTGCATGCTTTTTCTGGATCTATTGAGATAATCATACGATTTTTGTTTTTAATTGTTTATGTGGTATTTATCACATTTATTGACTTTCATATATGAAACCATCCCTGCATCCTTGGTATGAAACCCACTTGATCATAGTGGATTATCTTTTTGATATGTTGCTGGATTTGGTTAGCTAGTATTTTGTTAAAGATTTTAGCATCTATATTCATTAGGGATATTGGTCTGTAGTTTTCTTTTTTGTGTGTGTCCTTTCCTGGTTTTGGTTTTAGAGTGATACTGGCTTCATAGAATGAGTTAGGGAGGGTTCCCTCTTTCTTTTGTGGAATAGTGTCGGTAGGATTGGTACTAATTCTTCTTTGAATGTCTGGTGGAATTCTGCGGTGAGTCCATCTGGTCCTGGACTTCTTTTGTTGGTAATTTTTAAATTACCATTTCAATCTTGCTGCTTGTTATTGGTCTGTTCAGGGTATTTAATTCTTACTGATTAAAGTTAGGAGGGTTGTATGTTTCCAGGAATTTATCTATCTCTCTTAGGGTTTCTAGTTTATGCACGTAAAGGTGTTCATAGTAGCCTTGAATGATCTTTTATATTTCTGTGGTGTCAATTGTAATATCTCCTGTTTCATTTCTTATTGATTGGATTTTTCTCTCTTTTTTATTGGTTAATCTTGCTAATGGTCTATCAACTTTATTTATCTTTTCAAAGAATCAGCTTTTTATTTCATTTATCTTTTGTATTTCTGTTGTTGTTGTTGTTTCAATTTCATTTAGTTCTGCTCTGATCTTGGTTATTTCCTTTCTTCTGCTGGGTTTGGGTTTTTTTTTTTTTTTTTTTCTCCAGTTCCTTGACATGTGACCTTACATTGTCTGTGCTCTTTCAGATTTTTTGATGTAGACATTTAGGACTGTGAACTTTCCTCTTAGCACTGCCTTTGCTCTGTCCCAGAAGTTTTGATAGGTTGTGTCACTATTGTCATTTAGTTTGAAGAATTTTTTTAGTTTCCATCTTGATTTCATCTTGACCCAGTGATCATTCAGGAGCACATTATTTAATTTCCATGTATTTGCATGGTTTTGAAGGTTCCTTTTGGGGTTGATTTCCACTTTTGTTCCACTGTGGCCTGAGAGAGTGCTTGACATAACTTCAAGTTTCTTAAATTTATTGAGGCTCATTTTCTGGCCTATGATATGGTCTATCTTGGAGAAAGTTCCATGTGCTATTGAACAGAATGTATATTCTAAGATTGTTGGATGGAATGTTCTGTATATATCCGTTAAATCCATTTATTGCAGGGTGTAGTTTAAATCCATTGTTTCTTTGCTGACTTTCTGTCTTGATGACCTGTCTAGTGCTGTCAGTGGGGTATTGAAGTCCCCCACTATTATTGTGTTGCTGCCTATCTCATTTCTTAGGTATATCAGTAAAAGTTTTATAAATTTGGAAGCTCCAGTATTAGGCACATATATGTTTAGGATTGTGGCAGTAGGGGGAGGAACAGATGGTGGGTGAGGCCCTAGAACTTCCAAGAGTATATGCCCTTTGTGTTCAGTTACCAGAATACGTAGGAAGGACCATTAGGTGGGGGCAAGGCTAGGCATGTCTGAACTCAGACTCTCCTTTGGCGGGTCTTGCTGCAGCTGCCGTGGAGAATGGGGGTGAGGCTCCCAGGTCAATGGAGTTATGTTACTAGGAGGATTATGACTGTCTCTACTGTGTCATGCAAGTTGTCAGAAAAAATGGGGGAAAGCCAGCAGTCACAGGCCTCACCCAGTTCCCATGCAATCTGAAGGCCCAGTCTAACTTCCACTCTGCCCATCCCCAACAGCACCAAGTCTATTTGCAGGCATTGGGTGAGCAGGGCTGAGTACTTGCTGCCTCCCAGCTGTGAAAGCAAATATGGCTTTCTTTCTTCTCCTGCCGATGGAGTTTGCACACCAGATTCATGCCTTCCCCTGAGTTCTGGCCAGTTCAAATTGTTACAGAACTTAGCTGGAGGTTTCCTTCTTCCTGTGGCTTTTTCCAGAACGTCTGGCTGCCCTCCGGGAAAACCCCTGTGAGGCCAGGCAGAAACAGGTTACTAGGGGACCGAGCGAGCTCCCAGGGCTTTTCCCACTGCTTCCTCTACCCCTGAATTTCACTCAGCTCTCTAAATTGACTCAGCTCCAGGTAAGGTCAGAATCTTCTCCTGTAATCTGGACCTTCAGTCTCCCCAGTGGGGGTGTGTGTTCAGCTGCGGATGATCTCTCTTTCCCACTTCCACAGTTTGGGCACTCACAGTATTCAGGGTGTCTCCTGGGTCCTGCAGGAGCAACCCACTCCCTTCATGGGGTCTGTAAATCCTCTCAGGTTTCCCAATTTATCCCTGCAGTTGTTCTAGAGCAAAAATTCATGATGTGAACCTCCACATGCTGTTCTGTTCACCCAAGTCAGAGCTGCAATCTAGTCCTGCCTCCTGTCCGCCATGATCCCCTCAGTCCCCTCCAGCTCCACATTTTTTAATTTCTCACTTTAGGAGCCAGGCTTAAGGAGCATCTCCTGTTTGGAAGAGTGCTAGTTTATGGTGGACTACAGTTGGCTTTAAAAAATAAACTTAATTTAGGCATAAAATACATGTAATAAAATCCATCAATTTAAAGTGTTAAATGAAATTTGATAAATTCCTACATCAATGAAATAACTGCCACGATCTCTAAGACACAGAACATTTCCATCAAACCATCTTGAAACTTTGAAGTCTATCCCTCCCTCCATTCCCTGTCTCAGGCAATGAACTGAGTCGCTTTTTATTACTATAAATAAATTTGCATTTTCTAGCATTTTGTATGAATGGAATCACACAGAATGCACTCTTTGTGTTTGGCTTCCTACAGTTAGCACAATGATTTTAAAGTTTCTTCACTCGTGTTATTGCATGTATCAGTAATTCATTTCCCTTTATGCTTAGTAGTATTCCATTATACTGATGTGCCATATTTTGTTTACCCATTCACCTTTGGGTAAATTCTTGTTTTTTATGTTTTGCATAAAGCTGTTATGAATGTTTATGTACGAGTTTTTGCAAGGACAAATGCTTTCTTTTGTCTTGAGTAAATTCCTATCAGTAGAATAGATGGGTCATGTGACAGATACTTGTTTAATTTGGAAGAGACTGACAAAAAGCTATCCAAAGCAGCAATATCATTTTACATTCTCACTACCAGGGAATGAGAGTTCAAGTTTTTTCCACATTTTTTCCAATTCTTCATACTTTCAGTCTTTTAAGATGCAACTGTTCTAATGTATGTCCAGTGACTGTCATTGTGGTTTTAATTTGCACCTTTCTAAGGACTAATGATTTTGAGCATGTTATATGCTTACTGGCCATTTATATATTTTTTATGTGAAGTATTTGTTCAAGCTTATTACTTATCTTCCCATTTCTGTACTTAGTATTGTTTACTATGGTCAGAATTCATACATGGTTTAATTCTTTTGAATATATTAAGACTTGTTTTATGGCCTAGCTAGCTTGTCAAACACACCAAATATACTTGAAGAAAATCTGTATTCCGCAGTTTTTGACTATTGCATTATAAAATTATATATAATTTTATAAAAGAATGGTGCATGTCTACTTAAATTTGGAATTTTTCAATAAATACTGTGGGGCTTTCATATTGGGAGGTTCTACATTTGCAAATGTGGATCAAATGTGGATCACAAATCCCGTATTGGCAGCATGTGCCTATGGTCTCAAGCTACCAGCTGAGGTGGAAGGATTCCTGAAACCCAGGAGTTTGAGGCTGCAGTGAGCTATGATTTATCTCACTAATGCACTCCAACCTAGGAGACAGAATGAGATCTCATCTCTTAAAATAAAATAAAATAAAATAAAATAAAATATAGTATTTGCAGAATGCAAAACCCATGTACATGGAGGGCCAACTATTCCTCTAAGTGGGTTCCATGAGGCAGACTGCAGGACTTGAGTTTGTGTCAATTTTGGTATGGGGTGAGTACTGGAAGCAGTCCCCTGTGGATAACTAGGGATGAGGTTGTTTAGAACCTCTCTTTCTTTATTGATTTCTGTTTAGATGATGTTGGAATTGCTAACAAAGTGGTATTAAAATCTCTTACTATAATTATAAATTTGCATATTTATCTCTTTAATTTGTCAAATTATGCTTCAAGTATGTTGAAACTTTGTTTTTAGGTACACACACATTTATGATTATAATGACTTTCTACCTAATTGATACTTTCATCGTTATGAAATGCCCCTCTTTATCTCTCATAATATACCTTGTCTTGAAGTCTATCTATGTCTATTATTCATAGAGCCATGCCTGACTGTTTATGCTTACTGTTGCACAATATATCTTTTCCTATTTTTTACTTTCAATTTATCTGTGAATTTATTTTTGAAGAGTTTCTATTTTAAAAAGCTTATAATTGAGTCTTGGTTTTTTCTCCTTTCTGACAACCATTGCATCTAATTGAAGTAATTATATCTGTAACATTTAGTGCAGCTATTGATATGGTTAAGTCTACTATTTTAATTCTTATCTATTTGTTCTCTGCTTTTTGTTCTTCTGTTACTCTTTTCCTAACCTTTATTATTTAAATATATTTTAGAATGTTATTACATTTTCTATTAGATGTTTAGACATATCTGTTTTCAATTTTTAGTAATGGCTTTAAGAATTACAATATATAACTTTCACTTTTCATAGTATACTTTGGAGCTAATATTTTAACATTTATTATATAATATAGAAAGCATATGACTATAGTGGTCTATTTATGCCTCTACCTACATTGTTCTTTTATGTTATCAACTGGTATTATATCTCCATATAGTTATGTGATAAGAAGGATATCGATTCTAGGAACCAAAAGGAATGGACCTTCTCAGCCAATTTTACATTTTTTGGTTGCTTAAAGTATCAACTTAAGTTTAAAACATTCCCTACCTCATGGGTGTGGTTGGAGGAAGTGAAAGCCTCTTATAATAAAACAAACAAACAAAAAGTACTTACTATTCTACTCTCCTTTTCAGCTAGGCACAGGCATGTAATCTAGCCTTAGCAAATTAGATGCAGTGATTCTGAATTTTGAAGCAAGTGCTACTGTACAAAAAGAAAAGAAATACTAAAACAAAAGTAAATATAAAACCAACCAAACAAACAAACAAAAAGGAGTGACTTCAGAGGCTCCTTGTACCATATATATATATATATATATATACACACACATATATATATGCCATACTTGTACCATATATATATATATATATATATATATATATGTGGTACAAGATTTATTTTCCCTGTACAATCCGAAGAAATGGGCATTTTTCTAAATAAACACAATACAATCATCAAAATCATAAAACTAACATTGATATATCACTACTATCTAATACTTAGGCCCCATTTAAGTTTCACTCATTGTCCCAGGCCTTTATAGGAAAATAATTTCACCCAGAATCACATGTTGCATTTGTTTTCCATTTCTCTTCAATTGCCTTCAATCAGGAAAAATTCTTCAGTGTTTTCTTACTTTCGTGACTTAGACAGCTTTCAATAAACAAGTAATTCTGTAGAAATGTTCCTAATTTTGATTTATGTGATGTTTCCTTGTTAGATTCAGATTATGTATATTTCTCAGGCTATCATAGACATGAGGCTGTGTTTTTCTCATTGCATTCTAGTTGGTGGCATTCAATTTCAATGTGTTCTATTACTGATGAGATAATTTTGATCACTTAAGTAAGGTGAGGTCTGCCAGGCATTATGAAGTAACTTTAACTTTTTTGAAATGAATAAGTATTTAATAAAAGAGTCCTTTGAGACCTTGTAGGTATTCCTTCCAACTTTCAGTTTTTAAATTTATTTCTTAAAAGTAATGTGGACATACAGATTCCTATTTTACTTGATGGATTTTAAGCTTTTACTAACATTCCTTTTGATGCTCAAATTGTCTTAGATTTGTTCAGTGGAGGCCCTTTTTAATAGTGATGCCCTTTAATATTTCAGCACTTTCTTTTTTCTGGCATAAGAAGACTCAGGCTCATGAGTGACTCTTTTTGCTCCAACATTGGAATTAACCTTTTCTTTAATGAGTCTTTGTTCCCTTTAGTTAGGATGATGTTTAGAAACCAGTATTTGGGACTGGGCGCAGTGGCTCACACCTGTGATCCCAGAACTTTCGGAGGCCGAGGCAGGTGGATCATGAGGTCAGGAGGTTGAGACCAACCTGGCCAATGTGGTGAAACCATGTCTCTACTAAAAATACAAAAACTACCTGGGCATGGTGGCATGCCCCTGTAATCCCAGCTACTTGGTAGGCTGAGGTAGGAGAATTGCTTGAACCTGGGAGGTGGATGTTGCAGTGAGCAAAGATTGCAGTGCTGTACTGTGGCCTGGGTGGCCGAGCAAGACTCTTCCTCTAAAAAAAAAAAAAAAGGAAAGAAAGAAAGAAAAGAAACCAGTATTTGGGAACTACATGTGTACATTGCTATTGTCATGTTGCTGCTAACAGGTGGTGAGAAACCTAGCTCCCATGTTCTCCATCTATTAAATTTTAAAATTAATCTTCATGTATTTAATCAACATCCTATCACTGTCAATTGTATCCCCGTTCTTGCCCACAGTGAGGAACTCAAACTTCCTCATTATGCTTAGATTCCAACACCCCATCCAGAGCTGTCATCTTGCATAGATGCCCTCTACACTTTGTTTAGTTTCCAAAACCAAGTACTGGGACACCTCCCTGCACATAGGACACCTCTCCGTACACCTCTCTCCTTATTCCCTTCAGGCTCCAAACCATACATTGGGTTGATTATTACACTCCTCATAAATCCTGCATGTACACTCTTCTCACCTCACTCATGTTTTGATACCCCACTGTGTCATTCCCTCAGAATAGGGCTCCATATCCTACTCATACCAGAACTCCCTGACTCCTGCCACACAGAATCTCTCCCCAGTCTGCTCAGGTTATAAAGCCCACACTGGCTGCTCTGCTAGGCCAATGCTCACCTTACTCCATTTTTGATACCCTGAAACAGGTCCCATTGCTCAACTCCAAAAAAATGGCTTTTGGACTAAAATATTCAAGAAAGACAAAAAAGAAAAAGAGGTAAGGAAAAATAAGACACTTAAACTTAATATGCATTTAATAAGGTACTCTTTTGCTAAACCAATTGAGCTAATTTTTATTGTTTGCAAATAAGAAACCTTACTAAAACACACTATAAGAAATAAACTTTTATTCATGGGAGACCTTTGTAGAAAATGTATACAACTGCTGAAGAAATAAGCAAATATCTGAGTGATGTAAGCAAGATAGTGGAGTAGGAAGTCCTAGCTCTTGTTTTTCTACAGAAACATTGATAGAACAATGATTTTGCCTTGAGGAGAAGCATCCCAGAGGAGCACAGACTGAAAGCAGTTGCATTTATATTGGTAATAAGATAAATTTCACTTTATTGCATCAGTCCTTTCCCCAAACCAGCTTAACATTGCACCACAAAAATTGCTTCAGCCCATGATTTCTCCCATGGGGTGAGGGGAGTGATATTGGTTGGAGTGTGTGCCTAAATGTCTGGCCTCCTGGCTTCTGAGGACACCCTTCGTGAGGCATGTTTTTAATCTTGTTTCACAGTGAGTGCTGAGTCATCATCAGGGCCTGGTCTCCTGGAATACCTACAAAAAGAGATGGGGACAGCATTCCCTTACATCCAGCACTGCTCTGCAAGATTGGGAAGACGAGCAGAACTGAGATTTTTTTCCTCTGAGGGAGGGAAGGAAGCGAAGGGGGCGTATACCTAGCATTTCAGAGCACTCGCTGTGAAGCCAGTTTTTCTCCACGGAATTTGGTTCCTTGGAATAGCTAGCAATAACAAAAAAAAAAGTAAGAAAAAAATTAATTATTCTCTTGCAGCTGGTACCACTATGTGAAATAGGAAAAAAAAAATGCATAGCTGTAAGGCTTTTCCTCTAAGAGGGAGGGAATAATGTTAAAGGGGCTTGTCTCTAGACTTTTAGTGCACTCATTGAAGTGGGTCTCTATCTTTTCCTATATCAAGCACTGTAGATGATGAAAGTCCCTTCCAGTCAAAACAAGTCCATAAAGACTGGCAGACACAGATGCTTCTTCAAATGTGCATACAGGAAAGCATATGTACAAAAAGCATGAATAATAAAAAAGACACAATTAAAGAAAGAAGTAAATCTTTAATAGGCAACCCAAAAGAAATAAAGATCTGTGACTAAGCTGACAAAAATTCAAAATAATTATTTGAAAGAAGCCCCAAGAGTTACAAAAGAACACAAATATAACAAATACATAAAATTAATGAAATAATATGTGAACAAAATGAAAATATTAACAAAAGAAAGAAATTACAAAAAAGAAACAAATAGAGATACTGAAGCTGAAGTATACAATAACTGAAGAGAAAAATTTACTGTTCGAAGGCAGACTTGATCAAGCAGAAAAAAGAATCAGTGAATTTTGAAGACAGGTTATTTGAAATTATCTAGGCGAAGGAGCAAAAACAATTTAAAAAGAATACAAAGTACTTAAAAGACTTATGAAGCTCCATCAAACAAACTCATATATGCAAATACCAGAAGAAAAAGAAAGGACAGAAGCAGAAAGCTTACTTAAAAATACTGATGACTGAAAAATTTTAAAATCTTAAGTGGGAAATGAATATCCAGTTTCATAAAGGCCAAAGAAATCCAAACAGGTCATATTTGGAGAGAAATACACCAAGTAACATTACAATCAAATTGTCAAAAGTCAAAAACAAAAAATTTTTGAAAGCAGTAAGAGAAAAGTGACTTGTCACATAGCAGGGAACATCTGTAAGACTATCAATGGATTGCTCAGCCGAAATCTTGCGGAACAGGAGGGATTAGTATGATTCATTCAAAGTGCTGAAAGTGAAAACTAAAAACACAGAATTGCCAACAAAGAAAACTATACCTCCCAAACCATCAGTTAGAAATAAAGAAACAAAAAAGACTTCCTAAACAGATGAAAAGTAAGAGAGTTTATCATGACTAGACCTTCCTTATAAGAAATGCTAAAGGGGCTTTCTCCGACTAAAATGAAAGGATACAGATTTATAGCATAAAAACATATGAAAGGAAATAACACATTGGTAAAGGTATTTTTCTTTCAATTACAGAATACTCTAATACTCTAATGGTTATGCATAAATTATTAACTCTACTATACAATTTAAATATCAAAGTATTAAAAAGTATAACTAATAATTTATTAATGGATGCACAATATACAAGATGTAAATTGTGACATCAATGTCAGAAAGTGTGTGTGTGGTTGGAAAGAAGTAAAAGTACAGTTTTTGTATGTGATTGAAGTTGTTATCAACTTAAAATAGACTGTTATATCTGTAAAATGTTTTAAATAAACTTCATGATAAACACAATAACTGTAATAGATAAACAAAATATAAAGAGAGAAGAGTCAAAGCATACCACTATAAGATATCATCAAATCTCAAAGGAAGAACACAATAAATTAAGAAGGAGACAGAAAAACTAAAAATCAATTATAAAATAAAGAATAAAATGGCAAAAACTCCTTACCTGATAATAATTACTTTAAATGCAAATTGATTAAATTCCCTAATCAAAAGACACACAGTGGTTTAATTAATAAACAACAAGATTCAACTTTCTGCTGCCTACAAGAGATTCACTTTACAGACACACATAGGCCAAAAAGTTCAGATAGATATCTTGTTTAAATGCGAACCAAAAGAACATAAATGTCTATTCTTGCATCAAACAAAGTAGGCTTTAAGTCAAAAACTGTCAGAAGAAAGAAAGAAGATCATTATGTAATGATAAAATGGTCAATTCACCAGGAAGATGTAATAATTATAAGTGTATATGCACCCAACATCAGAGACCCCAAATATATAAAGCAAATATTAACAGATTTGAAAGGAGAAATAGACACTAATACAATAATAATGGGGAATTTTAATATCCCACTTTCAATATTGGATAGATCATCCAAACAGAAAATCAACAAGAAAACATCGGACTTGAACAACTCTATAGACCAAATGAACCTAACAAAAATATACAGGACAGATTGCATGTTAGGCTATAAGCCTTACAAATGTAATGAGATTAAAACCATATTAAGCATCTTTTCTGATCACATTGGTATAAAACCATATATCAATAACAGGAAAAAAATTTAAACATTTACAAAAATGTATGACTCAAATTATACCTTTTCCAACATCCAATGAGTCAAAGAAGAAATCAAAAGGGAAATAAAAATATCTTGAGAAAAAACAAAAATAGAAACACAACATATCAAAACTTATAGGATTCAGCAAAAGCAATACTAAAAAAAGTTTTTAGCAAAAAGATGTTTAAATTATAAAACTCAAATAAACAATCTAACATTATCTTGTATACCGTAAGGAACTAGAAAATGAATAAACTAAACCCAAAGTTAGTAGAAAGAAGGAAATATCAAAGGAGAAATTTAAGAATAGAGACTACAATTTTTTTTAAAGATTATTGAAATTAAGAGGTGGTTTCTGAAAAGATATACAAAATAAACAACTTTTAGCTAAACTGAGAAAAAAATAAAACTCAATTAAATAATATTATAAATGAAATATGAGATGTTACAACAGATACTAAAGAAATATAAAAAATTGTAAGAGGTGCCATGAACAATTATATGCCAAAAGTTGGGTAACTAGATAAAATAGACAAACTCGTAAAAATATACAACCTACCATGACTAAATCATAAAGAAATATAAAATCTGAATAAACAGAAAATGAGTAAAAAGATTGAATCAGTAATCAACACCCTTCCTGCAAAGAAAATCCCAGGATCTTATAGCTTCACTGGTAAATCATGCAAAACATTTAAGAAGAATTAATATCAGTGCTTTCCAAACTCTTCAAAAACATTGAAGGGGAGGGAACACATCCAGAGTCATTTTACAAGGCCAGAATTACCAATTACCAGATTCCAAACCAGAGAAGGACACTGCAAGAAAAGAAAATTGCAAGCCAGTATCTCTCATAACTATGTGTGCAAAAGTCTTAAGCAAAATACTATCAAACCAAATCCTACACTACATTGAAAGGAAGGTACACCATCATAAAATAGAATTATCCCTTGATGCAAGGATGGCTTAACATACACACTTCAATAAGTGTGATATACTACATTAATAGAATAAAGAATAATAATCACATGATCATCTCAATAGATGCAGAAAAAGCATTTGACAAAATAGAATATACTTTCATGATAAAGGTTCTCAACATATTAGGTATAGAAGGAATGTACTTCAACACAATAAAGGCCACGTCTTATTTAGTTTTGTGTTGCTGTAACAGAATACCTGAGGCTGGGTAATGTACAAAGAAAAGAGGTTTATTTGGCTCACAAGTCTTGTGACCAGAAGTTTTGAGATTGGTTACTTGCATCAGGGCCTCAGGCTGCTTCAACTCATGGCAGAAAGTGAAAGGAGAGCAGATGGATAAAAATGAATCACATAGCAAGAGAGTAAGCAAGACAGAGAAACCAAGGAAGAATACCATTTTTAATAATCTGGGAACTAACACAAGGTCATGCACTCCTGAGGGAGGCCATTAATCTATTCATAAGAGATCTGTCCCCATGATCCAAATACTTCCCACCAGGCCTCTCTTCCCAACTCTGCCTTGTTGGGATAAAATTTTAACATAAGTTTTGGCAGGGAGAAATTACATTCAAACCATAGCAGGCTGTATATGACAATCCTATAGCTAACATCATACTCAATGTTGAAAAGCTAAATTTTTGAGAGAGTTTCTTAATCCTGAGTTCTAATTTGATTGCACTGTGGTCTGCGAGACAGTTTGTTATAATTTCTGTTGTTTTACATTTGCTGAGGAGTGCTTTACTTCCAACTATGTGGTCAATTTTGGAATAAGTGCAATGTGGTTCTGAGAAGAATGTATATTTTGTTGATTTGGGGTGGAGAGTTCTGTAGATGTCTATTAGGTCCACTTGGTGCAGAGCTGAGTTCAATTCCTGGATATCCTTGTTAACTTTCTGTCTTGTTGATCTGTCTAATGTTGACATTGGGGTGTTAAAGTCTCCCATTATTATTGTGTGGGAGTCTAAGACTCTTTGTAGGTCTCTAAGGACTTGCTTTATGAATCTGGGTGCTCCTGTATTGGGTGCACATATATTTAGGATAGTTAGGTCTTCTTGTTGAATTGATCCCTTTACCATTATGTAATGGCCTTCTTCATCTCTTTTGACCTTTGTTGGTTTAAAGTCTGTTTTATCAGAGACTAGGAATGCAACCCCTGCTTTTTTTTTAGTTTTCTATTTGCTTGGTAGATCTTCCTCCAACCCTTTATTTTGAGCCTGTATGTGTCTCTGCAGGTGAGGTGGGTCTCCTGAATACAACACACTCTCTATCCAATTTGCCAGTTTGTGTCTTTTAATTGGAGCATTTAGCCCATTTACATTTAAGGTTAATATTATTATGTGTGAATTTGATCCTGTCATAATGATGTTAGCTGGCTATTTTGCTCATTAGTTGATGCGGTTTCTTCCTAGCATTGATAGTCTTCACAATTTGGCATGTTTTTGCAGTGGCTGGTACTGGTTGTTCCTTTCCATGTTTAATGCTTCCTTCAGGAGCTCTTGTAGGGCAGGCCTGGTGGTGACAAAATCTCTCAGCATTTGCTTTTCTGTAAAGGATTTTATTTCTCTTTCACTTATGAAGCTTAGTTTGGCTGGATATGAAATTCTGGGTTGAAAATTCTTTTCTTTAAGAATGTTGAGTATTGGCCCCCACTCTCTTCTGGCTTGTAGAGTTTCTGCCGAGACATCCACTCTTAGTCTGATGGGTTTCCCTTTGTGGGTAACCCAACCTTTCTCTCTGGCTGCCCTTAACATTTTTTCCTTCATTTCAACTTTGGTGAATGTGACAATTACGTGTCTTAGAGTTGCTCTTCTCGAGGAGTATCTTTGTGGTGTTCTGTGTATTTCCTGAATTTGAATGTTGGCCTGCCTTGCTAGGTTGGGGAAGTTCTCCTGGATAATATCCTGAAGAGTGTTTTCCAACTTGGTTCCATTCTCCCTGTCACTTTCAGGTACAGCAATCAGACGTAGATTTGGTCTTTTCACATAGTCCCATATTTCTTGGAGGCTTTGTTTGTTTCTTTTTACTCTTTTTTCTCTAAACTTCTCTTCTCACTTCATTTCATTCATTTGATCTTCGATCACTGATACTGTTTCTTCCACTTGATCGAATCAGCTACTGAAGCTTGTGCATGCATCATGTAGTTCTCATGCCATGGTTTTCAGCTCCTCCAGGTCATTTAAGGTCTTCTCTACTCTTTTTATTCTAGTTAGCCATTTGTCTAATCTTTTTTCAAGGTTTTTAGCTTATTTGAGATGGGTTTGAACATCTTCCTTTAGCTCAGAGGAGTTTGTTATTGCCGATCGTCTGAAGCCTACTTCTGTCAACTTGTCAAAGTCATTCTCTGTCCAGCTTTGTTCCATTGATGGTGAGGAGCTGCGTTCCTTTGGAGGAGAAGTGGCGCTCTGACTTTTAGAATTTTCAGTTTTTCTGCTCTGGTTTCTCCCCATCTTTGTGGTTTTATCTACCTTTGGCCTTCAATGATCGTGATGTACAGATGGGGTTTTGGTGTGGATGTCCTTTCTGTTCATTTGTTTTCCTTCTAACAGTCAGGACCCTCAGCTGCAGGTCTGTTGGAGTTTACTGGAGGTCCACTCCAGACCCTGTTTGCCTGGGTATCACCAGCGGAGGCTGCAGAACAGCAAATATTGCAGAACAGCAAATGTTGCTGCCGGATCCTTCCTCTGGAAGCTTTGTCTCAGAGGGGCACCTAGCTGTATGAGGTGTCGGTTGGCCCCTACTGGGAGGTGTCCCCCAGTTAGGCTACTCGGGGTCAGGGACCCACTTGAGGAGGCAGTCTGTACATTCTCAGATCTCCAGCTGTGTGCTGGGAGAACCACTACTCTCTTCAAAGCTGTTAGACAGGGACATTTAAGTCTGCAGAAGTTGGAAACTGAACAACCTGCTGCTGCATGACTACTGGGTACATAACAAAATGAAGGTAGAAATAAAGATGTTCTTTGAAACCAATGAGAACAAAGACACAACATACCAGAGTCTCTGGGACACATTTAAAGCAGTGTGTAGAGGGATATTTTTAGCACTAAAAGCCCACAAGAGAAAGCAGGAAAGATCTAAAATTGGCACCCTAACATCACAATTAAAAGAACTAGAGAAGCAAGAGCAAACTCATTTAAAAGCTAGCAGAAGGCAAGAAATAACTAAGATTAGAGCAGAACTGAAGGAGATAGAGACATAAAAAACCCTTCAAAAAATCAATGAATCCAGGAGCTGGTTTTTTGAAAAGATGAACAAAATTGATAGACCACTAGCAAGATTAATAAAGAAGAAAAGAGAGAAGAATCAAATAGATGCAATAAAAAATGATAAAGGGGATATGACCACTGATCACACAGGAATACAAACTACCATCAGAGAATACTATAAACACCTCTACGCAAATAAACTAGAAAATCTAGAAGAAATGGATAAATTCCTGGACACATACACCTTCCCAAGACTAAACCAGGAAGAAGCTGAATCCCTGAATAGACCAATAACAGGCTCTAATATTGAGGCAATAATTAATAGCCTGCCAAGCAAAAAAAGTCCAAGACCAGACGGATTTACAGCTGAATTCTACCAGAGGTACAAAGAGGATCTGGTACCATTCCTTCTGAAACTATTACAATCAATAGAAAAAGAGGAAATCCTCCCTAACTCATTTTATGAGGCCAGCATCATCCCGATACTATAGCCTGGCAGAGACACAACAAAAAAAGAGAATTTTAGACCAATATCCCTGATGAACATCAATGCAAAAATCCTCAATAAAATACTGGCAAACTGAATCCAGCAGCACATCAGAAAGCTTATACACCACGACCACGTTAACTTCATCCCTAGGATGCAAGGCTGGTTCAACATATGCAAATCAATAAATGTAATCCAGCATATAAGCAGAACCAAAGACAAAAACCACATGATTATCTCAATAGATGCAGAAAAGGTCTTCAACAAAATTCAACAGCCCTTCATGCTAAAAACTCTCAATAAACTGGGTATTGATGGGACATATCTCAAAATAATAAGAGCTATTTATGACAGACCCACAGCCAATATCATACTGAATGGGCAAAAGCTGCAAGCATTCCCTTTGAAAACTGGCACAAGACAGCGATGCCCTTTCTCACCACTCCTATTCAACATAGTGTTGGAAGTTCTGGCCAGGGAAATCAGACAAGAGAAAGAAAGGGTATTCAAATAGGAAAAGAGTAAGTCAAATTGTCCCTGTTTGCAGACGATGTGATTGTATATTTAGAAAACCCCATTGTCTCAGCCCAAAATCTCCGTAAGCTGAAAAGCAACTTCAGCAAAGTCTCGGGATACAAAATCAATGTGCAAAAATCGCAAGCATTCCTATACACCAATAACAGACAAATGGATAGCCAACTCATGAATGAACTCCCATTCACAATTGCTTCAAAGAGAATAAAATATCTAGGAACACAACTTAAAAGGGATGTGAAGGACCTCTTCAAAGAGAACTACAAACAACTGCTCAATGAAATAAAAGAGGACACAAACAAATGGAATAACATTCCCTGCTCATGGATAGGAAGAATCAATATTGCGAAAATGGCCATACTGCCAAAGGTAATTTATAGATTCAATGCCATCCCCATCAAGCTGCCAATGACTTTCTTCACAGAATTGGAAAAAACTACTTTAAAGTTCATATGGAACCAAAAGAGAGCCCACATTGCCAAGACAATCCTAAGGCAAAAGAACAAAGCTGGAGGCATCTCGCTACCTGACTTCAAACTATACTATAAGGCTACAGTAACCAAAACAGCATGGTACTGGCACCAAAACAGAGATGTAGACCAATGGAAAAGAACAGAGGCCTCCGAAATAACACCACACATTTACAACCATCTGATCTTTGACAAACCTGACAAAAACAAGAAATGGGGAAAAGATTCCCTATTCAATAAATGGTGCTGGGAAAACTGGCTAGCCATATGTAGAAAGCTGAAACTGGATCCCTTCCTTACACCTTGTACAAAAATTAATTCAAGATGGATTAAAGACTTAAATGTTAGACCTAAAACCATAAAAACCCTAGAAGAAAACCTAGGCAATACCCTTCAGGACATAGGCATGGGCAAGGACTTCATGTCTAAAACACCAAAAGCAATGGCAACAAAAGCCAAAATTGACAAATGGGATGTAATTAAACTAAATAGCTTCTGCAGAGCAAAAGAAACTACCATCAGAGTGAACAGGCAACCTACAGAATGGGAGAAAATTTTCACAATCTACCCATCTGATGAAGGGCTAATATCCAGAATCTACAAAGAACTTAAACAAATTTACAAAAAAAAATCTAACAACCCCATCAAAAAGTGGGTGAAGGATATGAAAAGACAATTCTCAAAAGACGACATTTATGCAGCCAACAGACACATGAAAAAATGCTCATCATCACTGGCCATCAGAGAAATGCAAATCAAAACCACAAGGAGATACCATCTCACACCAGTTAGAATGGTGATCATTAAAAGGTCAGGAAACAACAGGTGCTGGAGAGGATGTAGAGAAATGGAACACTTTTACACTGTTGGTGGGACTGTAAACTAGTTAAACCATCGTAGAACACAGTGTGGTGATTCCTGAAGGATCTAGAACTAGAAATACCATTTGACCCAGCCATCCCATTACTGGGTATATACCCAAAGGATTATAAATCATGCTGCTATAAAGACACATGCACACGTACATTTATTGTGGCACTATTCATAATAGCGAAGACCGGAAACCAACCCAAATGTCCATCAATGATAGACCAGATTAAGAAAATGTGGCACATATACACATGGAATACTATGCAGCCATAAAAAAGGATGAGTTCATGTCCTTTTTAGGGACATGTATGAAGCTGGAAACCATCATTCTGAGCAAACTGTCGCAAGGACAGGAAAGCAAACACTGCATGTTTTCACTCATGGGTGGGAATTGAACAATGAGAACACTTGGACACAGGGTGGGGAACATCACACACCAGGGCCTGTCATGGGGTGGGGGGAGCGGGGAGGGATAGCATTAGGAGATATACCTAATGTTAAATGATGAGTTAATGGGTGCTGCACAGCAACATGGCACATGTATACAAATGTAACAAACCTGCACATTGTGCACATGTACCCTAGAACTTAAAGTGTAATAATAAATAAATAAATAAATAAATAAATAAATGTAAAAAAAAAGAAAAGCTAAATTTTTTTTCTTTAAGATGAGGGAAAAGAGAAATATGTTCATTTTGTTACTTCTCTTCAACATAATACTGGAAATATTAGCCAGAGCAATTAGGCAAGAAAAAGAAAAGGCATACAAATTAGAAAGTAAAAAGTGAAAATGTCTGTGGATGACAGAATCTTATATATAGAAAGCCTCAAGATTCCACCAAAAACCTGTTAGAACTAATAAATGAATTTAGTAAATTTGCAGGATACAGAGTCAACAAACCAAAATTGGTTGCATTTCTATAGACCAGTAAGGAACTATCTGAAAAAATTAAACAATTCCATTTACAATAGTATTAAAAACAGTAAGATACTTATAAATAAATTTAACCAAGAAAGTAAAAGATCTGTAGACTAAAAATGATAAACATTGATGAAAGAAATTTAAGTCATAAATAAATGGAAACATCTCATGTTCATGCATTGGAAAAATCATATTGTTAAAATTTTCATAATACTCAGTGATTTACAGATTTATTGCAATCTCTATAAAAATTCCCATTGCATTTTTCATGCCATTGGAAAAAATAATTCTAAAAGCCACACAAAACCATGAAAGAACCCAAATAGCTAAAATGATCTTAAGTAAAAACAACAAAGTTGGAACAATCACACTGCCTGATTTTAAAATATACTACAAATCTATGGTAATCAAAACAGTATGGTACCGACATAAAAATAGCCATATAGACTAGTGGAACAGAATAGAGAATCCATAAATAAACCCATGCATTTTTTAGTAAAGTGATCTTCAACACAGTTGCCAAGAACACAAAATGGGGAAAGGATATTCTCTCAATGAACGGTGTTGGGAAAACTGGGTAACCACATGTGGAAGAATGAAATTAGATATTTATCTCACATCATATAAAAAATCAACCTAAAATGGATTAAAGGCTTAAATGTAAGACATGAAACTGTAAAATTACTAGAAGAAAACAGGTAAAGAGCTCCATGATATCAGTGTGAGCAATCACTTTTTGGACATCACCCCAAAAACACAGACAGCAAAAGCAAAATAGACAAATAGGACTGGATCAAACTGCAAAAGTGCTGCACAGCAAAGCAAATGATCAGCAGAGTGGAGAGACAACCTATGGAATGATAGAAAACATTTATAAACCATATATACATTTGACAAGAGACTAATATCCAAAATATAAAAGAAACTCAACTCAAAACCAAAAATCCAAATAACATGATTAAAAAATGGGCAAGGTATCTGAGTAGACATTCTTTAAAAAGACACACAAAAGGCCAAATAGTATATAAAAGGTGCTCAATATTACTGAGCATCAAAGAAATGCCAAACAAAATCAAAATGAAATATTACCTTATATATGTTAGAATGGCTATTATAAAAAAGACAAAAATAATGACTTATGTTAAGGATGTGGAGAAAAATAAATCCTGTACACTATTGATGAGAATGTCAATTGTTACAGTCATTATGGAAAACAGTATGAGGTAGCCCCCAAAATTAAAAATGGAACTACCATAAGGTTCAATAATCCTACTCCTGATTATGTATCTAAAGGAAATAAAATCAGTATTTTGAAGAAATATCTGCACTCTCATGTTCATTGCAGCATTATTCAAAATAGCCAAGATATAGAAACAACCTATGTGTCCATCAATGGATAAATGAATGAAGACAATATTTTTATATATATATTCATATATAAATATGTTATATGTTAATTAGCTTGATTTTGGTAATTGTTTCAAAATGTAGATGTATGTAAAAACATCACATTGTATACCTTAAATGTATACAGTTTTTATTTGTTAATCATAACTCAATAAAGCTGGAAAGAACAAACAAGTCAATTATAAATTCTGTATTCTATGTTGTAAAATTCATTAGTGACTATTGTATAAGAATAAATGAATAGTCAATAAAAAACAAATACTTGAAGAAATACAATTACATTATAAAAAATACAAAGCTAAACATAAAACTTTTTCCAGAGGAAACAAAGTGCCAGAAAAGAAAGAGAATGTTAAAAAATTAATTTGTGACTGTAGGGACTTTTGAGAGAATTTGCATATATAAAACCCAGAACAAGCTGCTATGCAAAAGGTAATAAAGAAGGAAGAAAGGGAGGGGGAAGGGAAGGGGAGAAGTGACAGAGGGAAGGAAGGAAGGGAGTGGGGAGGGACTGAGGGAGGGGGGAGGGAGGGAAAGAAGGAAGGGAGGGAGGGAGGGAAGGGAAGGGAAGGAAGGAAGCAAGGAAAGAAGGAAGGGCTGGTGAAAAAGCCACCTCCTGGAGCTCTACTGAGAACATGGCAGGGTTCTCCCCTGTTCACTGATTGGATAAACTTTTCTGGGATTACTATTATTATTTTCCTACTTTATAGAGGGGTGGGGCCATGATCAATTTCTCCACTCTGAGCAGGCATATACCTTCTCTCTATATAATACACATTTTTGAAACAACTATAACTTTTGCACATGAAGACAATGTGTCAGAGTGGTCAAGAATACAAACTTTGGAGCCAGGAGTCTGACTGCCTGGATTTGAATCTGTTCTCTGCTAGTAGTAGCAGCGTGATCCAGGCAAGTGTGACTTGCCTTTCTCATCTGTAAAAGGGGATGACCATCATAGAATTGTAGTAAAGATTAAATGACAGTATCGGTAAAGCACTCAAATGAGTGCCAAGCATGTGATAAACTCTCCTTTAGGATTATAACAATATAATATATTTATGTGTATAATGCATACATCTGCTACTATACATTTTTTCTGCAGGTTTAAAATTATACAGACAATGTAATTTTTTAAAAGATATACTAAAACATCAAGACATATCAAAGTTCTAACATTTTATTTCTGTATGCTGGAAGGTCATTTTGCAAAAGCTCAGGAATGAGTGTCACTGACATATCAGTGATTTAGAGCAGCAATACTCAGGAATTCAGCAAGATAGTCACCACCAAGGGATCCTGGAAATTGAATAGACACAGGTTAAAAATGCATGCAAGATCTCTATAACCATCGGTGCAAGCCACAAATATCAAGGAGGCCCTGCACTTTTTACTCTAGTATTTCATGTCAGGAGGGGGACAAATTCTCAGGCATGGCTTACTTTGGGCATATAAGAGGAGGCCTGGGGTAATAAGGAGGGAAGGAGTGGAAAAGAGGAAACTTTCTGGTAAGAGAAACTTGAGGGGCATATCTGTGACTTCCCACATGGTAGAAACTGCTAAGTAATGTCTTCTTCATTATCTCTTAGGATATTCACAGCAATCCTGTGAGCTTGGTTTTATTTTCCCCATTTGTATAGCTGAAGAGGCTTACGTATTTTTCCAAGATGGTACAGCTCATAGGGATCTGTGCTAAAGGTTAGATTTGAACTCATTTTCTTAACTCCTAGTTTACCAATACTTTCGTCAGATCTTACACCGACCTCTCTCTTTTTTATTACATATTTCTTAATACATTAGAGTAATAATCTCTCTCCCTCCTCCCCAAACACACATAAACTATGGTTTCATGATTTAATTTTCATTGAATATTTAATCATTCGTTAAAATTTTTACTTTCCATCATTTCTAGTAAATACAACGTTGGGCATATGAAAGTTTTATAAGTAATTGTTATAATGGATTATAAAATTTGTAGTATTTATTTCTTTGCTATTCACTTAAAGCCATTTGATGTCTTCACATTCAGTGCATTCAACTTTTGAGTTAGAAAGTATTGGTTTTCTACCCAACTTTGGAACTTTGTCCTGCCAGGAATTCATATAATCACACACACTTCATAATTTCTGTTGAGAAAATTTTTGAAAAAGAAAGCAAGCATGTTCTTTATATGCATGATTCAGTGTTAAATCCTGCATATAGACTGTTAATAGAAAATAGTTCAACAAGTATATTTAAATTACAATTGTTTAATATATCACCTCTCACAAACCCTTTGATTTATTATCATTTCAAATGATAGTTATTTGCTTAAGAAATGAGCTAAGCAGATAGGAGGAAGACAAAAGGAAATATGTCCCTCTTCATATGTTTTATATTATTCTTTTATATTTCAAGATTGCTATGGTGATTGTTAATTTGTCAGTCAAGTAAAATTGTTATTCATGTTTCTCTTTGCATGTCAAAGTGCATTCCTAATTTATACACATCAAACTACTATAGTCTGTTTTTACACCTACGCCGGGTCAATAGGATTTCATTTTTGGCCTTGCAAATGGAAGGCACTGCTTCACTAATTGGTTGGCTGAAACGGCAGCTCTAATACCTCAGGTATTCGATCAGTCTCTTTTCATTTCACTAAAGGTCAGGAATATGTACACACATGCAAATGTGTTTTTCACGTTGGGAAAATAGATAGGTTAAAGTGATGCAGTGGTGAGAAACGCTGAATATTGACAGTCTAATAAAAAGTTACTAGTAAATATTTTATATAACCTTCAAACAACAGCCATAATAATAGGATTTAGGGCAGTGATTAATGTCTTTATAATCTATCTTGTCTTTAATGTAATTACTCAGAAAAGAAATAAGAATTTTAGATTAAAAAAACTATGTTCATTTCAAGTACCTGTGTAGAGATGTAAGAAATTCAATTTTTGTTTTTATTTCTTTTAATTTAATTTACTCAGTTACTTTTATGTTGACATAGAATCTCAATGTTTACCTAAAACTAATCAATCATAATCTTGCTGCACATTTGCAGCTAAGAGACAACCATATAATGGAAAGGGATTATTGATTGCCAATATTCATGTTGCTTTAAAAATTTTACTTATTAATGTGAAAATTTTTTATAGTGATTGTGCAATGCTGTATGTTTTCTTTGGAGATTTAGTGCTGCATATTTCAACACATTCATTCTCATATTGGAAATCATAACTCTTTTATAACAGATGGTTCAGCATCTTGATTCCTGCAATGACCAAACCTCACATTTCAGATACTGTGAACCTTGTTGCCTCTTTGTTCAACCCTTCTGATGTGGCTATCCAAGTATATAGTGCTATACTTAATGCAGGAAACAGACAAAATTCCTTCTTCAGCCTTGCAGGCAATAAGTTTATATTCTGAAGCATTAACTTTGATTATTCTTATTATCTGAACTTCTATATCTAATATAGTTGTTAGTACTCACAAAATCTACGAGGTCTTTGTAATCACATAGCCCTAGAATTAAACTTTGTAACCTCTAGTTACAACTAGTTTCATAAATTGTCTTTATTCTTTGTGATGAACCATGTTCTGGTGTTTAGGGATGATTGTGGCTCTTTCCTCAAAAATTAAGAACAGAACTGCAAATAAAATTCTAGTTACAATTCTAGGTGAATTTTAATAAATCTCAAAAACGTTAACATGAGGTGTGTCTGTTTAGGCTGCTATAAAAATACCATAATCTGGATGGTTTATAAACAACAGACACTTGTTTTTTGGAGTTGTAAAATCTGGGAAACCCAAGATCAAGGCACCATCACCTTTGGTATCTGGTGAGGGCTTGTTTCCTGTTCACAGATGTCTGTCTTCTCACTGTGTCGTCACATGACTGAAGGAGCAAGGGATCTCTCTGTGGTCCCTTTAATAAGGGCACTAACCCTATTCATAAGGGCTCTGCCCTTATGGCATAATTGTCTCTCAAAGGTTCTACTTTAAAATACCATCACATTTGGGATTAAGTTTCAACCTATGAATTTTGAGAGGATACAGAAATTTGGTTTATGGCACAAGGCAAAGATAGTTTTGGGTAATTTAATAATCAGATTCATTTTTCTTTATTCTTTTCTGCCTACTTACCACAGGTTCACAAAAGCCAATCTGCCAAATCATATTTTCAAATCATCGAAATATATTCACATATAAGCCCCTAACTGCCCTCCCAGTTACCTCCATATTGCTAAATCAAATGATTTTTGTTATGTTTTCATCCTATTTTCCCTCTTAGGAGCACTCAGCACAGCTACTGGCATCATCCAATTTAGAGTTTGCCCTCCCTTTCTTGGTTTTCTCTGCGTTGCACTATCCTGATTTTTCTACTACCTTTCTAATTACACATCCCCCATTTTCTTTTGTTCATTCTGCATATAACATAAACATAATACAGTTCCTCAAGATTATACTAGGTCTGTGTATAATTTGCCAAGAAAATCCCATCTCTATGTTGATGACATTTGAATTTATAACTCCAGTCTAACTCTTTTACCTGGTTTCAAAGCTCACCTTGATTGTCTGTTTTACGTCTTTACATCATGTGTTCCAGGTATTTTAAATTTAACATATATTATATTCTGAATGTTTGTGTCCTTTAAAAATTGATACATTAAAACCTAATCTGTGTTGTTATTAAGTGGTGAGGCCTCTGGGAGATGGTGAGGCTTTTGGGAGATAATTAGGCCTTTGGTTCTACCCTCATGAATGGGATTAGTGCCCTTATAAAAGAGACCCAAAGAAGCTTGTTTTTTCCTTCTGCCACGTGAGAACCCAGCTAGTAGGCCATCTTTGATGCCAAGAGCAAGACCTCACCAGACACTGAATTTATTGGTGACTTGATCTTGGCCTTCCCAGACTCCAGAACTAAGAGCAATAAATTTCTGTTGTTTATAAATTACCCAGTCTAAGGTATTTTGTTATAGAAGCACCAAAGCACTAAAACCATATCCAAAGCTCTTGAGTTCCCCCCCATACCTCCACCTCAATGCTTATTGTGTCTCCCACTTTTTTCTGTTTTGAGGGTTTACTATGTGCTAGGCATAGGACTAAAATTCCTGTCAAAGTTTTTGGAAATAATGAGTAAGATGGATATGATCTTTGCCTTCAATAAACAAATGAGTCAGATAAACAGAACAAACCACCAGCAAATAAAGTTGTTAAAATTTAGAATAATTTTATGAAAAAATATTAGGAAATGAAGGTAATAGCTAACTTCTGTTGAATATTATTTTAAAATGGGGGAGTCTTCTTCACTACTAATTTTGTTTTCTGTTTTTTTCTATGAGTGTTACTGCTGGCCTCTTTCCACCCTTCCTTACGTCTTCTCAGGAGTGACTGTTGAGTTCATTCAGAGCACATATAGCTCAGCTCTTTCTTTATTCCTTCCTCTGGAAAGTGTGCTTTACTGTACTGAATAAGTGCACATGCTCTTGCTCTTGATTCCCCTTGAGACACCCGCTGTCTGTAGAGAGCATGCGCTGTCAATAGCTTACTTCCTTCCCATCAGTGTTAATGGCAGCCTCCGGCTCTTCTAGACGACAACCACTTTTTCTGGGGTTTCAGAAGGTTTTCAGAATGTAATTATGGTCTCAACAACTAGAAAAGGGGCTGGCAAACATGGTCCATGGCTTAAATTTGGCCCAAATACTATTTCTGTTTCTAAAGATTTTATAAAAAACAAAGGCAAATATGCACCAAAATTTTAGGCTTACAAAGCCTAAAACATTCACTCTCTGGCCCTTTACAAAAAATGTTTTCTGACTTTTGATCTAGAACTTGGGGCCAGGAATCATGAGAAATAAAGTGGTAATAAATTTTGGAAGAATAAAATACTTATTGATAAAGTAGCCTTCTCGTAAATTAGGGTGGGTGACTTTGAACATTGGTCATATTTCATTAAATATAGACCATGTTGATTTTTTACTTTGGCAGTTCTTAGAGACGTATGTCAGCCAATGTGGCCACTGTTTACAGTTTGCAGATTAGGTTTTAACTCTTTGAATGAGATTAATGAACCTTAGATTACATAGCACTTGCTGTTTTAAAGGTTATATCACTTTATAGTAGGTTTTTGTTCATTTGTTTTGATTTGTTTTTGTTTGTTTTTACATAGAAATGGTTGTTTATATAAAGAGAGAGACCTAGGTCCTCATCAAAGATTCCAGTGTCAGCAAAATGTTTGGTCGTCAGCGAAGGAGTAGGGTTCAAAAATGACTGTGGGTAAGAAAGTGCTTAACCAAATGCCACAAGGGCATAGCTTATTTTTAGTAAAACTTTGTACCTAGGAAAAGCCGCAGTCTATAGGCATGGGTGATGTCTGGAGACATTAGCAGAGCTGTGTCACACCCTGACTTTGGCATATAAGAATTGAGCACATTCAGGCCAAACTGTCTTCAGCAAAGGGGTGGGTAGTTATCAGATAGAACCGTTTAGGGTATGGACAGCTGTAGCTTGACCTATATGCACACTTTGACTGTACGTGGACCAGGCTGTGCGGGCTTCAGTAAGCAGGTACATCTGAGGCAATGATTCAACTATGAAGGAAAGATAGTCTTTTCAGATATAGCCTCTATGCACAAAATTTTGCCAGTTTTACTGTGTTTCTCAACCACGTCTATAGGTATAGTTTATACTGCAAAAGCATCTAAATCCTATCAGCATGTGAGTGCTTACATTTAAATTCTTAGTTCCAGGCCTAGGTAGATGCTGTAGATAGTTCTTTTAAATTTTATAGTTCCTTGTGTGTTTTTGATCTGCCTTCAGAGCTGAGAGACAAAATTGTGAAGATACTGAGTTTGAATCCATACAGCTTTTCCAAATCTCAAGAGCCATTTATCCTCATGTTGGCTCTAGATTTGTTAGCTACATATGAGAGAGAAAACTTCCACAGGTGCCAGATTTCATAGGTCTAAGTAATTTTATTGTGAGTGGCAGTGGGAATTGTCCAAAACTTTGGGTCCAAGATACTTGCTTCTAGGAAATTGTAGATGTTACGTCATAAGACTTAACTCAGTCATGTGGTTGGGAATCTAAAAAAAGTCCTTACAGAGAAAATGGAGATTAGGATGCCTTGGAATACATTGGATGAGAAAGAAAGATGCCTCTGATAGTACCTGGTGACAAGGGCTGCCATCACTGCAAATTTCTAACTTTCACAGAAATGCAGAAATTGTCTTAATTGCACCCTACTCTCTCACACACACACTTTAGAAGAGGGAGTTTGAATAGATGTATATCTCCCAAACTGTACCATAAGACAGTGCCAAAATTAAGGTTTTGTAATGATTTCCCTTATTTGAGTTTAAATTTTCAGGCCATAGGTTCTGATTAACAACATTTTGATGAGGTTGAGACCAATATATAGTTCTTTCTCAGTCTCTCTCTCTCTCTCTCTCTCTCTCTCTCTTTCTCTTTCTCTCACTGAGAGGTTATGGCAATACTAAACCCTGGGATCAAAGAATAATATTTTACCTGGGATAAATGTCCCAGCTAGGACTCAGGGATTTGCATGATTTTTCTACTTGATTGCTGTGGAATTTTGTTAACTCTCAAGCTCTTTAAATTGTAGGCTTAGGAGACTCTTGGTTCCGAAGTAATTGGACTAATTTGAAGTCTTCCTCTGACAAAGATTCTTTGCTAGGCTGGACATTAGTCAGGCTCTTGAAACTTCTCCTAGGACCATCTGTGAACTTGCTTTTAAAAAGCAATATTAGCAAAGAACCTTTCTATGGCAGTTTAGCAAGAACCTTTCACTCTTGATGTCGTCTCATCCTTGTTGCAATCTAATCAGGTTCCTCATGTTCCACCATCCCCCCAGTGATTGATGTCAGATCATTCTCATCTGTCTTCAGCAAGAATCCTGTTAGGTGGGTTTAGTCAGAATCTCCCTTACCCGTGATATTTCCTCTCAGTAATTTTCCATCCAGTGACCCTGACATGGGTATCAAGGCTCCTCTGTTGGAGACTCAGCAGAAAAAAAATGGGAAGCATGAATTTTGAGTTTTAATTTCTCTAAGCTATACGCACAAACAGAGAGGTTCTCTGTTTCTTCTTCTTTGCTGGGTAACAGGTTGTGCTAACAACCCAGAAGCTCTTGATTCCCTTTAGCCTTCCCACTTGAGATAAGTAGATTATGTGAAATTCAGAGACATGTGAAACACTCCCATTTTTGTAGGAACTCGTAGTTTACTTAGTGGCTATCTCATATCTAGGTTAGTTTTCTGTCTCCTCTTCTTTCCAGCTTCAACTTTTTCTCTTTCTCATTTTTTGACCTTAAGATTTCTCTTACTTCTTGTAAGCTCAGAATACATTATGGTATTTTATTAACTATACTACCCAAACAAAAGCCTGTCCAATGTATTCTTCACAATTCTAGCAGAAAAATATTTTTGAAACGTAATTCTTAGTATTTTGCCTTTCTTTTGAAAAACCCTATAATAATATCTCAGTACTCCTTAAATAAAACTCATACCCCTTCCAAGCCATGTAAAAGTTGGTTTCTGCTTCTTCAAAATCAACCTTTATACATTTCCTGTAACCATCAAGTTCTGGCCACACTGGCCTTGTTTTAATTGTTTGAGCACTTGCTGGTTCCTTCTGGTAATTCAAGTTTGTACTTACATGAACTCTTTCAATGTATTCCCTGCGTACCATATCTAGATAGGTTCTTTCACTATACATTTGCTTCATAGCATTTACCATAATTTTAAATTATATACTTATGCTTGCATTTGTTTTTATCTCTTCCACCTGATTGCAAGTTCCTTGAGAACAAAACCATGTTTATTTTTGTTCTTAATAATTAGCACTCTACGTATGACTCAGCACATAGAGGGACTCACATTTTGTTAAATGAATGAATGAACATGTGGAAAAATGGAAACTTCTGATTGATTAAAAATAATTGTATCTAAGATTCAACCCTAAGCATAAAATAAACCTAGAAATCTAGCACATCTAGTTTAAAATGTTTATAAAGAGGACTGACTCTTTGAGATGGTCTTTAAGATTTCTAATAATGATAATGAGCAAAAGCACACATTTGATTTTTGTTTTACTTTGTTGTACTGCTGAATGATATGCAAAATGAATTGATATAATCTCTGATCCCAAAGGGACTAGTAAATGATGACAATGACATTGAGAAAAGGCTTTAATAGTTATTTCAGTTAGCTCTTAAGCATGTGTTCTAATGTTGCAATGATTCTTCTTTTGACTTCCTCTCTAGTGCCTTTTCCTTTTTCTAATAACACATCCCAGTACTCTTGTCTGAGTGCAAGTTTCCCAAGGGCATGAAAATGCATTTAGATTCAACCTAGTTTTTACATTCCAGAATGATTCCTAAAAAGGATGGAAAAGAAACATTTAAAAATAGTAGAATTACATGTAGTAGATCAGACTGTATTTAGCCATCCTCAGAGTTGGAGAAAAATGTTTTTTATGAAGAATTCTAACATTTGTGAGAAACCACTTAAATCAGAGCACGGGTTAGTGCATATTTTCAAAGGGAATCTATTTCCAGTCAGAATCAGAGACTTTTTTTCTGACAATGTGCAATTACCTTCCACTTATCCAACTGCCATTTTCAACTGCTATCATGCTGCCCAATCCCCAAAGCATTTAAATCAATTTCAAACTACTCACAATTTCCCATGATTTAATTAAGCAAAACAGCTCAGTTGTATCAGAAAGTTACTTTTCTCTAAATTTTTAACATATTAGTTATATTTGTGAATATTTATATTTCCTTGGACACCATTTTAGGGAACATCCTGGGAGTAAACGAGCTGCCAAGTTTTTTTGTCATTTAGTTTTTTCAGAATTATACTACTAGATTATTAAAGAACCTCTCCCTGCTCAAATATTGTCATTAAAAAAACCATACGTTAGTTTCATTATTTATTAAATGTTAATCATGTCTTGACTCTCTTCCTTTTAGCTGTAGTGGTCTTCAATTCTTTGCTACTCACAAACCACCTCAAAGAATTGTGAAAAATATCCCTTGCACATTTTTAAAGTTAACATCTCAAAATAAAATGTTGCATTATTTAAAAAAAATCTCGAATGAAATCTTTCATAGTGATTTAATATCACCACATTATCTATGTAAAAATACATAATCAAAAAGTTACATTTTTTTCTCCTTTACCCATATTTTCATTCTACTTGTCTTAGAATTATTTCTGATATAAGAGCTTTTAAAGCTCACACATTATTCATTCATCATTCTTTTATACTTCTCTGAAATAAAAAATAAGTTTAAAAAATTATATCTAGACAGCTTATAGAAATGCAAATATATATTTACATGTAAAATTTTATTTCTGGTAACCATAAGATATATATGTTAAAAGTTCTGGATTGATTGATCATTACAATTATTTTAAAATAATTACTCAAAACAGCATACTTATTTTAAATCTTGATATATATTATTTAAAACACTTTGTTTTACACAACATTCCAATTACACACAATTTTATCAGAAATACGTTTCTCTTTTTGTTGCTTTCGGTGACAGAATCTCACTCTGTCACCCAGGCTGGAGTGCAGTGACGTGATCATGGCTTATTGCAGCCTCGAACTCCTCCTGGGTTTGAGAAATCCTCCCACCTCAGCCTCCTGGCTATACATTCTTCTTCTTGGCCCTGTACTATACAGGCCTGGCTGTTTTTTGTTTTTTTTTTTTTTTGAGATAAGATCTTGCCCTGTTGCTCAAGCTGGTCTTGAACTCCCAGCCTCAAGTGATACTTCTTCCTCAGCCTCTCAAAGTGCTAGGATTAGCCACTGTGCCCAGCATCAGCCACCGTGCCCAGCCAAGAAATGTATTTCTTAATGAAACAGATAACACTGTCTTATATTTCAAAAAAAATATTATTTATTACTAGAATAAGACAGGAGACATTAATTCTTACGCTATTTTGGCATTTCTATATGCAGGCCCTAAGAAATTTTGGTTACATATAAATAAATGGGAATGGAAAGAAGTTTTGAATAACTGTCTCACTCGGTTCTTTCATCCTCTTTGTTCTACCCAAATCACCATGTTCTATTATCAAAAAAGTGTTTTATAATCAGCAACTCGGTTAGGGCTTCCTTTTTCTTTTTTGTTTTGTTAAATGAAGAAACCAGATTTGCAGAAGATACATAACAAGGCATATCAAATGAATTAATTGTACCTGTTACTTTTTCACTTAGAGCAACTTTTAAACCTGACATAGTCAGAAAACAGAAATATTATTAATTTAAATATACATTGGACAATATAGTATTTTGGAAAAAATGCTATTATATTACCACATGCATTACATATACTCTTGTAAAAACTATGGGACTTCAGGCTTCGCTTATTCAGTTTTGGAAAATGTCTGTCATGCAACCTAATTGGCAAAGCCAGTTCTTTTTGATTTGACCAGTCAGCCAAATCCGAGTTACTTCCTGTCAGAAAAAGTTTGGTTTTATTTTTCAGTTCAATAAATATGTTAATACATTTTACTCTGACAACTACCTCACTTCTGAATTTGATGACGGTTAAAGAATGGATCCTTGACGAGCTTGCTTCCTAAATGAAATAAGGCATGTCAGCTTCAATATTTCTTACTGATAATAATTTCTTTACTAGCATAAAACTCAACATCAAGAGGTCTTCATTTTTTGACAACAGCAAAGGGATAGGGGAGGCGAGGTCATTAAATGAAAATATTTAATTAGCTTCACTACTCTTTAATATGGCTGAATATAGAACACTCTAACATGAAGTTTTGCAAAAGACAAGGAAAGAGGCAAAAGACACTACTGAGGTTTATGGTATCTTCATTTAACATCTTAAAAGTTGACACCAATATTTCAATTGTCCTTTTTTTCTTGCACTTCAAAGATCTTATACTCAAGATCAAAGCATTATATGATGGGTGTAAGGTGAAAGAAGGGCAATTGAGGATGGGGTGGTGGCAATGGTGTGTCAGTAAATGTTTAACAACCAGTGTTCTGAAAAGAAAGTATGCCTGTATACACATGTATATATTTATTATAAGTTTTACTGATATAAAGGATATATAGCACACAATTTGCAAATAATAAGTATATAATACTTTTTATTATAAATTATACATAGGGAATTAATTGTCATAGGATGCTTTTGGTAATTTTTGCCAAACTCTTGTATCCATAGCTAAACCTTGGTTGCAACTGACAAATAGGTTCAGTTCTGACATGAATGCTGATTGATAATTTGTTTACAATAACAAGAAAAATGAATGTAAAACAACAAAGACATGTCAAAATTGACTCTTTTGCCAATGACATGAGTGATTTTGTTGCTGAAACAGATAGTAATTTTCCAATCCTAGAAAAATGCTTTGTTTTTTTTTTGCACTGTGTACAATGTAGTGGACACTTAAGTTTAATCTAAATTATTAACAATTTCTCTCTCATTTTTTAAGTGTGGCCAATCAACAAACAATAAACCAACACCTCCTTTGAAGCATATGTTGATTTCCTTATTGACTTCAAGCTACCAAGGTGATATCACTGTATATATGGAGAGTTGGGAATATATGTGCAGTAGAACACCATTTTAGAATATTTCCAACAAACAGATATAATAGATGTAAATAAGATAAAAAATGTAGATAAGAGTAAGAATGTAAAATTATAGAGAAGTCATGAGTTTTGAGTATTTGTTACCTTTGGGTTTTAATACAATTTATTTGATTATAAATTTATGTATTTTTAAATTTATGGCTGTGTTTAATAACTGGATTCTAAAATTTCTGAAAATGTAATACTTTCGGAAAAGGTTTGAATCAGCTCCAGCCCACTACTGGGTGGAAGGTTAAGAGAAAGTGTGACTCCTCAGACGTTGAAGATCTGATTCCCTTAGTTTTCTAAGTATTTTCTAGCTCTCTCAATTAATAATTTTTAGTCATGCTCATCTACAAAATCTTTTAGATAGTATTTCTTGTCTTGTTTTCTTTTTTCTTTTTTGCAGTGCTTTTTTCATTGACACTGAAAATGAAGTTTTTCTTTATCCAACATGGGGATAATCCAGATTTAGTCATTACCAACACAGGTGTGGTAAATTAAAGTAATTGTTTCAATTCTTCTTGGTCCTGTACTATACAACTCTGCCTTTTCCAAGTACTCATAGTGGAGTGTACTAGTCAACACTTAGACATATCCATTTATATAGGATATGAAGATGTGCCACCCTGATCTCCCTTCAAATGAGAACTCTTGCTCATCTATGTGCTGGAAGTGCTGTCAATTGACAGACTTCAGTTGATGACCCATGCAGGGATTGCTTTGGCTGTAGAAAGCCCCCTTGCCAAAGTTCCTGCCCTTCCAGGCATGGCCCACACCCAAAGACTGATTAAGGTGGAAACAAAAGGGTCTAGACATTGTGCTGAAACATAGATCAGTTTTTTTTTTTTTTATTATTTCAATTCCATGTCTATCTGTGAGGCTGGATAATCTATGGACTTCACTGCTTAATTGTTCTGCTTCTCGCAATGCCCAATCTTGCTTGCTCTCCCTTTATTCCATAGATATTGATACCAAGGGCACTTCATGATGAATAACTTGAACTATAAACTCTGTCTTAGAGTCTGCTTCCTGGAGAACAAAAACTGCAACAATTGATGCCAGGGGTGGTCCGGAAAAATAGGCAATAATACACGGTCTGTTGACTAGATTACCCACCACTCAGGTGGCAATGACATTCCTATCCATGGTCATAGGTGATACATAGATAACACCTGGCACAAAAGATAGTCCAATTGTAAAAATTTTCAAAGGTGATGAATTTGGGCTCATACACCTATAAAAGAGAAAGCATCAGCTCGTGCAATGTATCAAGCATTTGAAAAGTATGAGAAAAATAGTACCCATAAAAACGATGGCCGAATGGTTGAATGGTTATTGCTAAACAATACTAAAACTCCAAAAAAGTTAATGACAGGTTGAGAGTGATTCACTGGCAATTGAAAGTTAGAAGATTTGAAAGTTAGAAGATTTCCTTGGTAGCATACAACAGACCTTTATTTTCCTGCATTGAGAAGGCAGAGAAAGGTGGAGACTAGGATGACAACCTGGTTGAAAGAGTGTCTGAGCTCCAAAGAAGGTAAAATGCCTGAGAAAGCAGGTCAGCAATGTCAATGTCAGGCTCTGTTTGGGAAGGAATATGACCCTGACAATGGGATGGAGAAATCTGAAATAATGTTCCCAAAAATCTTTTTTTTTTGGAATTGCCAAATTTCTTTAAACGCAACTCAACATAGGCCCCCTTTAAGGTCTATGTAAAAAAACTCTCAAAACGCAACAATAAAACTCAAAACATTGAATGAGAAAGTAGACAAAGGAAAATAAATTTCCCAGAGAAGTGAAAACTTATGTTTGTACAAAAACCTGTACATAAATTGTTTATCAGATTTATCTATAAGAGCCAAACACTGGAATAAGTCTAGATGTTTTTCAACAGTAGATAATTAAACACACTGTGGTAGCTATATGTGATATTCAGCAAAAAAGAGTGAAAAAATAGTGAAATATTGATACATGTAAACACTGGATGAATCTCAAAAGAATTATTCTGAATGAAAAAAAGCCAATCCTAAAATGTCACTTGCTGTTTAGGTCAATTTTTCTAATATCTTGAAATGTCAACATTTTTTGTATGGAGGAGAGATTAGTAGTTTCCAGGTCTAGGGATCAGGGGTGGGGTAGAGTGAAGGGCAGGAGGTAGATTTTGGTGATAAAAGGGCAAAGGGTTTATTTTGTGTAATGCTGGAACTGTTCAATATCTTGACTGTAGTGGTGGCTACACAGGCCTACATGTGATAAAATTGTGTAGAACTAAATGCACAAACACATACACACACACACAAATGAGTGCAAGCAAATGGGAAATCTGAATACAATTGGTGGCTTGTATCCATGTCAATATTCTAGTTATGATATTATCCTATAGATAATATCATAATATTTGCAAATATTACTATTGGTGGAAACTGGATAAAGTATATGTTGGGTCTTATTATTATTCCTTACAACTACTGCATGCAAATCTGCAATATGATCAATAAAGTTTTAATTAAAAAACATTATGACTCCATAGTTTTAAATTCAGGATTTCAAGTACGACTCTATATTCAAAATAACTATTAATGTGATTCAGTGAATTAAGAGATGAAATGAAAAATTCTGAGATCTTTTCAAAACATGCAGAAACTTTTATATATGTTAATACTCAATTCCTATGAAAATAAATATGCAGAACTTAAGAAGAGCAAAACATAAAAACAAAGATACCTCTCAGCAAGTTAGAAATGAAAAAAAATTTCTGATGGGAATTTTGGCAAGTTAGGAATGGAAGAAACAACCCTGATTCTGAAGTGTATATGCAGTTACCCAAAGCAAATATCTTCCCTAATAATGAAATACTAGAAATATAACCCACCAAAGCAGACAACAGCACTCAAAACTACTGCTGCTCCTGAGTATTATTCTAGTGATCCAATTCAATGCTATGAAAATAGACACTAAGAAGATTATAAAATAATGAAATTAAGACATAAAGCTATCCTTATTTGCAAATGATATAACTGTTTAGAGACAAAAAATATCCAACACAATCAACTAAAATTGATTAAATCTAGCAAAACAAAGATAGTGAGAGTGCAGATAAATAATATATCAATAGATTTTTTTTATTTAGGAGGGATAACCCATCAGGAAATGTAAAAGGAAGATACTGCATCTAGAAAAGTTACAAGAACTATAAAGGCTTGAGAAATTTAGCAAGAAGTATGCAAGACCTATAAGAATCAAACCTACTGAAGAACATAAAAAGTACGAAAACTAATAGAAAACAAGTCTATGTTATTGAATGGAATGAAGTTTTAAATCAGTGGAGATACTATTAATTCATTGGATGGGAAGATCAAATTTGCAAAAATACACTTCAATTTTGGCCAGGCGCAGTGGCTCACACTTGTAATCCCAGCACTTTGGGAGGCCAAGGCAGGCGGATCTCTTGAGGACAGGAGTTTGAGACTAGCCTGGCCAACATGGTGAAAGCCCAGAAAGCCCATCTCTACAAAAAAAGTTCAAAAAGTAGCTGGGTATGGTGGTGTATGCCTGTACCCCAACTACTTGGGAGGCTGAGACAGGAAAATTGCCTGTAACCCAGGAGGCAGAGGTTGCAGTGAGCTGAGATGGTGCCACTGCACTCTAGCCTGGGCAACAGAGCAAGACTCTGTCTCATAAAAATAAAAACAAAAATAAATAAATACATGCCTTCTAACTTCCAAAAACTATGCTATTATACATTTAACGTGTGTTCCACTGAGAATCTCAATGGTGCTTTCCTGTAATCTGATTTCAAAGAGATTTTATAAAGAACTCTAAAGAGAAATTTTCCTTAGAATTTTAAAAATATACTACCAATATTGTTCTACATGTGATATTCAAGTGGAGATAATTTCTGTTTTAGTAACTTCTTCAGAACACAGAGATATATGGAAATCTTGTGTAATTCACTTTATAGGGGTTACATCACTCTGATACTAATACTGAATGTAGTGCAAAAATAAAGACAGTAATTAAATGATAATACAGTAATACTAACTCAAAAAGAGTTTAACCACACGAATTAAAGAAGCCACATTCAGTTGAGAAACAGATCCATATATATGTGGGCTTAATGGTTAATAATTATGGCAATTTAAACTAGAAAAAGCAGTGTTGCAAAATGTATTTGATGTAAATTGTGTCTTCTAATTCACACCATAAATTAAAAAATTCTATGCATATTAGATATTTGTACAAAATTTTAAAAGTAAAATTATGTAAGAAAATATTTTAAAAGATTTGAGTAGAGGATAAGCGTTTCTTAAATTATCAAGAAAAATACTAATAAAGCTGTCTATATAAAAGTTTTAAATTTCTTTAAATAAACAATGCCACATATAAAAGACAAATATTTCTAGAAGAATTGCCACTTGCTATATATATTTCAGACAAAGGTGTTTTTGTTTTGTATCTTGTCAAAAGTTCTTCAGTATGTTTCTTTTGGTAAGGGGGAAAAAGACCAAATTGTTAAAATAACACAGTAACAATGTTGACTACATAGAAACTAAACATTTTTTGGTAGTTTGATAGGAATAGGATTGCATCTGTAAATTGCTTTGGGCATTTTGACCACTTTAATGATATTGATTCTTCCTACCCATGAGCATGAGATGTTTTCCATTTGTTTGTGTCTTCTCTGATTTCTTTGAGCAATGTTTTGTAATCCTCATTATAGAGACCTTTCACGTACCTGCGGTCAACAAACATATGGAAAAAAAGCTCAGTAACACTGATTATTAGAGAAATGCAAATCAAAACCACAATGAAATACCATCTCACATCAGTCAGAATGGCTATTACTAAAAAGTCAAAAAATATCAGATGCTGGCAAGGTTGTGGATAAAAGGGAACACTTATACACTGTTAGTATGAGTGTAAATTAGTTCAGCCACTGTGGAAAGCAGTAGGGCAATTCCTCAAAGAGCTAAAAGGAGAACTACCATTCAACCCAACAATCCCATTACTGGGTAGATACCCAGAGGAAAATAAATCATTTTACTACAAAGACACATGCACATAAATGTTCAATGCAGCACTATTCACAATAGCAAAGACATGGAATAAACCTAAATGCCCATCAATGACAGAGTGAATAAAGAAAATGTGGTACATATACACCATGGAATACTATGCAGTCATAAAAAAGAATAGATCGTGTCTTTTGTGGGAACATGGATGGAGCTGGAGGCCATTATCCTTAGCAAAGTAATGCAGGAACAGAAAACCAAATACTGCATATTCTCACTTATAAATAAGTAGGAGCTAAATGATGAAAACTTACGAACACAAATAAGGAAACAACAGACACTGTGGTCTACTTGAGTGGGAGGGTGGGAGGAGGGAGAGGAGCAGAAAAGATAATCACTGGGCACTGGGCTTAATACCTGGGTGATGAAATAATCTATACAACAAGCCCCCATGACACACATTTACCTATGTAACAAACCTGCACAAATACCCCCAACCCTAAAAGTTAAAAAAAGAAACTAAGCATTCATATATAGAAAATGCTAAAATACAAAATAGTTACAAACACATATCTATTAGAAGTGGCGATAAAGGGGGATTTTACTTTTTACTCTGCATAGTTCTATAATCACATATTACTTTAGTGAATACAAAATATTTAAAAATCCAATGTCATAAAATTATTACTGTCAGAAATTCTTCACTGCCATCCTCTCATACTTCTATTCTTGATCATCTAAGGCCCTGACACCTTCCACATGCAAGTTCCATTCTGAATAGGATCTGGAACTATTTTGATGAAGGCAGGCACTGTTTCAGCAGTTTCCATTCACCTGTGGTACACTCAATATCCACTGAGCCTCGGGTGAGCCCTGGCGGTCCATGTGCTTATTAAATTCCTACTTTCTGGTAAGTGTCTTTTCCAAATAATTTTGCTAGTACCCTTTACTTGGTAGCTTCTGCCTTTAGCAGGCCCGTTTCCCATCAGCCTGGATCCCTACCCCTAAGTCAAGTGCTAGAGCATCATTTCTGACTACCCTAGGAGTGGAGCATGGATGACATTTGCTTTATCCTCAGTTGCTTTCATCACTGGGACTGGATTAAAATCCTAGTCTCATGGACTCCCTTTGCTTTGCCACACCTCTTGATTAAAACTCTGAGCCAGCCCAGAGGAATCTCAGGTTTGGTGGAAATCTTTAGACATGGTACCTCACACTCACTGCCTGGCTGTTGAGTTGGCTGCCAACCCCACAGCTGAGGAAGCTTCCATGACCCTACTCTGTCTAGTCCCAGTTTCTTCTTCTTGTTTAGCAGGCAAATCCTGAATATTCTTCATTTTGCCCCTCAGTTTTCTCTTTAACCACTTCTATCTTGCCTTGTGTCCTGGGAAGCTGACCTTTACACACTGCAATATTATTAGTATGATCAGCAGGCTGGAGGAAAGGAAGTTTGTGATATTTATTCCCTGCTTGTTTCTCCTGACAAAGCCAGAGCTCCTTTCAGGAGGTTCTCTCATATCACTGCAAGTCTCACTGGCTGCTGGTGACAGCGCCCTCCCTTTATCCTTTCAAGCCCAGATAGCAGCTGTTGCTGGTCCAGGATTTTGAACTATCTCTGTGAGTTTTCCTTAATGTTGCCCATGCCTTTGTTAATAGATTCTTTATTAACGTTTCTTTAGCCACTGTTTTGAGTGTGCTGTCTGTGTCCTGCCAGGACTCTGATGCGAACTGTATTTATTACTGCAGTTGGGAAAGCTGGAGCATAAGCACTTTTGAGTTGTGGTGCTAAAGGCAGCAGGGACACTCGTTTCTTGTCTTTGAATTTTAAAATCTCTTTCCTGTTAAAGACAGACTATATTCATAAAGTAAACATTACAGTAAATCTTCTCTAATCACTACAGTTGCTGAAATACTAGACATTTGGTGTTTCTCTAGCCCCTGGTTAAAGATAAAATAGTATTTCAGTATTGGTCACATGCTGATAAAGTGGACATCAAATCTAATTACTTACACTTAAAAACCAGCATTAACAATTCTGAACTTAGAAAAATCTCCTATATCATGCCCAGTCTATGCAGTATTATGTTTTCTTTCAACTATTTAATTTCTACTATTTGCTAGACCACATTATTTTTGTATTTTCTCTCAGTAGATTGTAATTCCTTTTCAGGAATATATATTGTAGTACTTCGTCTGTTGCATATGTTCAATCGACTATTTGTTTAACAATCTGAAAAAAAGACAAAGCAAGGTAATTGGAACTATGGTTCAATGTAACTGATTTGGTCCTCTTTTTTGGTAGTGTAAATTTATTTAGCAAATATTTATTGAGCGCTTATCTTTCTATTAGATGTCAGGCATTGTATTAGGTATAAGGTTTCCATGTAGCAAAAATTTATGATGGAGTAAAGTCAAGGTAGTTTTTATAGCAAAAATTAATATTAAAAAAGCAAACCATGTCTTATGTAAAAGTTTCCATCCCTTGCCTTTTTAGTGCATATCAAAACACACTTCTTATTATACTGTTTCTATGGAAAAATGCATTCTAAGTATTAACCAACTTTTAAGTGGATGCTTGGCTTTCAATCTTTTTAAATTGAAAACTGTTTTTCTGTGACCCCTTTTAACATCTTGAAGAAGATGCTCTGAAAGCTTATAAATCTAGGTTAACAATCAGAACTATAAAAAAGGTAATTTAATCCTTGCTTTAAATCATTTTTTGACATTTCTCTTCTCTTGCAAATGATAAAAGAAAAACAAATGAAGGCTTAGAAATTAATTAACCATAAGCCATTATACCAAACAAGGCTTAATCATTTCCTTAAATTTCAAATCTGACAGAAATAACTACATTGAATGGTATCCATCCAGGAACAAGGCAAAATCTACAATGGAGTCAGATGCTCATTGAATTTTCCTTTTTTTGGAGTTGATGAGCCTCAGTAGGTGATAGTAACTCTGCTATAAATGATGATGTCACTCATTATTACGACAAGAGGAGAGCATACTTCTCAGAAATTCTGATCATCTGTCTTGAAATATGTTCAGCTCATCACTCAATACAAATTCTTCTTTCCGGGATCCCTAATTTAGGGGCTGTGTCCATTTTTAAGTTTAGCTGGGTAAAAAATTTCTGTTCTCGTAAGATGAATCATTTATCAACTCCTATTGCAACTTTTGGCAAAATATTTTAAGTGTCATTCTTAACATATAACAAATTCTCAACAAATAACAATGCCTTTTAATTTAGTATTTTAAATTGTTCTTTGCTTTCTTCAACTTTATTGTCCTATTTTATACTAATGAGTTGTAGGTCCTGTAATAATTCAATATTTTTTTGCACGCAATCTATCCACTTTCCTACTTGAGAAGTCAGATGGTGTAGTTTCAGTCACATCTTTTCTACTGGAAGAACAATAGAGTCATCTAATGTGTCTTTTTCCAACTCTGAAAACCATATTTCCAAAGGGGATGGTGTACCTGGCCATTTGGTCTGCCATATTTGAACATTTATCAACCTCACCTTGCATCCTGCTGAGAGCATGTGTGCTACTTTTTGAAAAACTGTCATGATGATACTCTCTTATTTTTATATCTGCCATGTGTTTATTTCTATTTGTTTCACAGCTGACCGGCCTATAGACTGGCTATAGTTTTTTAGCCAGATGTTATTCCTGGGTTTTGCCATCCCTGTATTTGTATTGGAAAATATCCCCTGTTCATAAAATCAGCTGCGCTGTAGGTAAGACTATACCTCTGAACTATGTGTTAAAGCTCAGCTTTAAAAACATCAGCCCTCTTGGGGCATTATTTACAATGAGTCAATACTTTTAGAGCTCCTGTGTTCTCAATACCTTTAGTGATAAGTTATTGTGTTTGTTGATTCTTAGATTGTTTATGAACATTTATTTGCTTCTAATAGGCATCTATAAATTTCAGAAAATACGCTTGACTAGATAGCTAGTACATTTGATTTGCAGATATTTGGGTCACAAAGTATAACTTCAATTTAGAAAAGAAGTAATACATTTTGTTTACTAGCTGTTAAACCTGCCTGGAAACTCCTCTACAGCAAAATTCTGACTGTTTTCCACACATCTATTGTATTCCTTTTTCACTGTGTAGCCTGCTATCTATTTCCAGTGTGTAGCAGTTATGCAATTTGGATGAAATTAACTCAACTCTGATTGTGAATCCCATGCTTCTTGACAGAGCAATTAGTTCAGTGATGAGCATGTGAGCCTAGTATTTAACCAAAGAGTACAAGGTGTTCTCCTGGCTAGAGGGCTCATTCAAGGATGCCTCAATTAGGATGAACTTCAGCCCTTGTGTTCTTTAGGTTTGGGAAGGAAATACAATTTTCCCATCTTTGGATGTGAATGAAGAAATACCTCGTGTAAGACCACCATCATATAACCTGCAAAAATCAGCCATTGTGAATGATGCCCCAACAGTTACTCAGTGTACAATAAGCACAGTCATACCCAGTGTCTGGATTAAGCCCCGATTGCTGCCCACTGCCATCTTGTGACCATAAGTGAAGCCAGTCTGAAGACAAAGCTGGTATGGAAATAGAACTTAGATAATTACAGAACAAGAGGGTTGTATGTGTAGGCATATAGTTTTGTAATAGTAGCACTCTATGCTATTAAAATCGCTGTATGTTAAATCTTATTTTTCTTTAATTGGTCTGAAAAAATAAAAATTGAAGAACTTAAAGGAAATTTAAATTTCAGACAAAAATTCACCACAGACTATTATTTATTAGTTTGAATAATAACAATTATTAATTAGTTATTTAAAAACTAAAGTTATTAAAAATTACCCCTAAACTGGAAAATAATAAAAATAGCTAAGAGTTCAGAGTCATCACGTTCTCTTCTAATCAAATACTTCAATTCTGGGGAGTAATACTATAATTCAGAGGCAGTTAACGTTGTTCATTTTCTTCTTGTGTTTCTATTTTTTTGTTTGTTTTTTTGAGACAGAATCTCACTCTGTCACCCAGGCTTCAGTGGAATGGTGTGATCTTGGCTCACTGCAACCTCTGCCTCCTGGGTTCAAGCGATTCTTCTGCCTCAACCTCCCGAGTATCTGGGATTACAGGTATGCACCGCCATGTCCAGTGAATTTTTGTATTTTTAGTAGAGATGGGTTTTCACCATATTGGCCAGGCTGGTCTCAAACTCCTGACCTTGTGATCCACCCACCTTGGCCTCCCAAAGTGCTAGGATTACAGGCGTGAGCCACCATGCTTGGCCTATATTTTTTATTTTGAAAAGATTCATAATATTTATATTATGTGCCGTAATTCCTCTGGTTTTCCTCTGAATGTAAATGGATAGACTGCTTACTACCAAGTCCTTTTCCATGGCTTCCCCATTCTTGACCTCTTTATTTGAGTCAACTTTTGGTCACCTGCATGTCATCATTGAGTACTATTTTTGTCCAGGAGGGCTTATGTGTGTCATAGTCTCTAAGTTTGTCATTGTAGAGAATAAATGCCCCCAGTGTTATAATTAAATGACAACTCAATATTGTCAAATAATGAAATTTCAGCAAATTGAATTGAAAGATCTAATTGGCTTTTATTAGCTATTTTTCAACTAGGCAGTATCACGTCTATGAAAGATGTTCTGTCAGGTGGCTAAACAGTCAGTTTTTGAAAAGGAACTTGAGCAGGAACAAGGAAGCAGCATATTGCAAAGAGCCATCATCTAACATCAACTTACTGCAGGTGACTTTCCTTATAGCGCCAAGGCAGAGGGGTCCTCCGTACCATGCAGGGTCAGGTTGATTGGGCATGTTTGGATTGGTTGCTGTGAATCCCCTGGTTTTTGTTTTTGTTTTTTTATTTTTTTTAATTGACCTGTTTTTAAGTTGTTTGGTTAGGTACCACCCTAACATGAATAATTCTGTTCTGGTTGGTTCTGGTCTGTTGGGTCTAGTGTGGGAGCTCAGTTCAAAACAGCGGCCTCTCATACATTTTATTTAACAGTATGCTTTTCTTTGATATTACTTTTCTTCCCTTGGAACTTCATAAAATAGTGCTTCTGGTTTTACTGGCATTGAATAATACTGAGAAAGTTTGAGGGTAACCTCAGTTTCTCCCCTCTGATAGATGACTTCAAGAAAAAATTGAATGGTGGAAGAATTTTTTCTTTATTATTGAGTTTCTACAATTTAACTATGATTTGTTTCTATCTCAGTCACTCTAAATCAAAATTTTCAACTAAACATATTGATTTCAATCTACAGACTCAATTCTTTCTACACTTCAGTGACATTTTCCTGTATTATACCTATAGATGTTTTCCTATTCTTGTTTGTTTGAAATTTCTACTTAAGGAACACAAATTGTCTTTATGCTGTTTATTCCTTTCCCATCCTTTTTATCCATCATCATAACTCTAGTTTTTATAATCTTGTTGCCTCTTTCTCTATGTTCATTTTGATTACCTTAAGCTTTCTATACAACATTAATTTTATTTGATTTTAGTCATATCTGTGCTGTTTCCTGCTATTTCGTTTGTGTATTGTTTCAGAAATTGTGTGTTTTGGTTCTCAATTTATTTTCTTAGCTCTGACATACCCTCTTGCTTTGTAGTTTGTTTTTATGTCATCTTACCTTTGAGCAATCATGTTTCCTCTCATCCTTAGAAACTTAATTGAATTACTTTATTAAGGTCTTCTATAGAGCAAAAACTTTGGCAAAAAAAAAATTCAGTGCTTCTTGGGTTATGTGCTCTACTAAAATAAATTTTTCTTTAGTATATTTGTAAGTTTTACACTACTTTTTTTTCATCTTGCTCATAATAAATTTAAGTAGGTCTGTTTAGATCTTGCTGACCTGATTTAGTATGAGCTGATTGTCCTCGATACTTGATGTACTTCTAACATTTTGCATTCTCTCCCTGACTCCATTAGAGGAGTATAATTTCCTGCCTTATTGAATTTGGACTTTACCTTGTGACATTGATTTTGGACTTCATATTCCATAACCAATGGAACGTGAGCAAAGATGGAATATGAGCAACCGATGGAATATGTCATGAACAAATGCCATAAACTTGCACGATAGCTTGTCCTCCTGGACTTCAACCTTCTGCCATGAGAGGGACATGTTCTGGGTAGCTGTTGGTCCCAGAATAAGAATATGTGTAGAATAGAACTAAATCCAATCACTAATCCTTGAACCAATCCAAGACTCTCCCAGCTGAGCCCAGGAGAATCATAGCCATTTCACGGACAGAAATGTGACATGAGTGACAGAAAGAAATGTCTTTTGTAACCACTCAATTCCTGGGGTTATTATTCATCATTACTGCTACATAATTAACTAATATGCCTTTCTATTTTATTTGGAATCAGTTCATTTTTTTTTCTCTCAAATGCTTTCAATGTCCTCTCCTAAAACTTTTCAGACTATGAAGGTGGGGAAGGGAATAGTTTAGCTGAAGCTGAGACAGATTTAGGTAGAAGACTTATATTGCTCTCCTCTGAGATCCCATTGAAAGTCCTATCTAAGGGAGATATTCTGCTCTTACAGCTTTGACAACTTCATTTTAGCACAGCACTCTGGAAGATGACACTTCTTGGTGGCCCTTCCTACTGACCTGTTTTCATGAGGTGGTCTTGCCTTTATATTTACAGGTTTTTACTTTTGAGAATTTTATTTGACTTTCCTAAGTCTGCTTAATCATTGGCTTTGCCAATTTATTCTCAAATTAGAAGATATTAATACAAATCCTTTGACCATTACTGAGACATGCATTCTTTCCTTATCACTAGCTCTGAGAAAAGACGGTTAAATGCCAGACCATGTAACCTGCTTGAAATCACACTTGGCTGTTCTGTTTTGGCTTTTTTTTTTTTTTTTATACGTAGGAAATAACCTGTTTGCTTACTACAGAAGAATTTTTGTCAGGTTATTTTTATTATTTATTCACTCATTTATGTAATATATGCTCTTGTTGTTAGGCAATGGGAATATAAACCTCTTGATCCTACTTTTCTCTACAGTCCTCACCTGGAATTCACTTATGTAGAAATGCCACATGAAAACTTAAGCAGTTCATAGCCACAAGGTGAGGATGTAATTTTGTGTGGGAAGTATATTGCTATTAAAAAATTATCTGGGAAGCGGTGCCTTTTTTTCTTTCCCTTTTTTTTTTTTTTTTTTTTTTTTTTTTTGAGATGGAGTCTCACTCTGTAGCCCAGGCTGGAGTGCAGTGGCACGACCTTGGCTCACTGCAACCTTCACTTCTGGGGCTCAAGCAATTTTCCTGCCTCAGCCTCCCAAGTACCTGGGACTACAGGCACGCACCACCACATCTGGTTAATTTTTTTTGTATTTTTAGTAGAGACAGGGGTTTCACCAAGTTGCTCTGGGTGGTCTCGAACTCATGAGCTCAGGCCATCCACCCTCCTCAGCCTCCCAAAGTACTGGGATTCCCAGCGCCTGGCCGGGACTTTATTAAAGTAAAAATATATTCTAGTATATTATGTGTCACAGAGTATTTTCTTGAATTTGAAACCATACTCCTTATATTTTATTTTTACACTACTCCTTTTATTACAAGGAAAGAAATTGCAGAGGAAATCAGCTCTCTATAAATATAAAAGGATTAAATATTAGCACTTGGAGCAAGAAGGCACAAAAAATATCATAGTTTTAGTGTTTCCTGACTTCATACTATGTGATTGACTAATAGGGAGTCTGTTACAAGTCAATTAAAATGAGATATTCCTTTAACATTTTCTACAGTGTATTGCACTAAGGCCTAAAAATAAGTATTTAAATTTGCTCATACCACCTTATTTACATGAGTCCGCTAATTAATACTTCCCTCTTTCAGCTACCTTTTAATATTATAGCAGAATATGTTACTTTTTGCTTGATTTAAACCTGACCCAGTTTACTAAGGAGGCATGCTAGTGCATGACCTAAGAGTTGTCAAATATTCCATTAGGAATGAACTTAAGTGTTTTTTACATTTAGTGCATCAGCAAATAGAGAAAATGAGTTAGTAGAAACATCTTTCATCTAAAACTGGTAAATGGCTCTCTATCAATATTTGTTGGAATTAGCATGTAGTGGATTAGGTTATGCATTATACAAAGATAATATGTATTTTAGAAATTGGTCTTCTTTGCAAAGTCAAGCTTTAATTGGGAGTGAGGAAGGAGACAGAAATGATTAAAATGCATATCAATTTTACCAGTTTTCTTGCATGATCTCAAAAAATTTATAACTTAAAAAAAGACTAAAATTTCTTTAGCAAAATGCAGGCAAATATAAGTGATTTGAGTAGCAAGTCATCCTGCCTGTAATGTGGAATAGAAACAAAAAAGCATGAATAGAAGAAAAGTACCTCTTGCTGATTGGCATAGGGTCATGTAGTATTTAAATCAACTTTAATTACTGACCAGCTGAATTGTTCATTAATGGGTTGCCTGTAGCAACAAAAATAGCACATTTAACAGTGTGGTAAAAATACTGTACCACAACATCATCTTCAGTCACGAGTTTTGCGTGGAAGTGCAAGTTAAGTTGATTTACCCAAGATCATTGAAGTCAATGGCAACAAGGGTTTCAAATTCTTAGCTTCTTTCTTTTTGTTGCTTCTGCCCTCTGAACTATTCTCTCTCTAAAGTTATTAATTTACTATATATTTTTGTGATTTCTTGATTAGCAATGGGAAAAGTGGTATGTTTATGTTTAATTACTGAGTTGCTTGCTGAAGATTGGCATAGACCAAATATTGTAAGTGAATGTTCCATATTGGCAAAGTTTTCTGGTGTATATTCTGATTCATGTTTTGAATTGGGTTAATGTATATTCCTGTAGTTAGACAGAATGCTATATGAATTATTCTAGAGAATTAGAAAATGTTTCAAATTATTTAGGTATCAAATACAAAGAATGAAAAGTATGTTTTATTTTTTCAACATATTTTATTTCATGACTTTCTAAAAAATAATTTGATCCAAATTCCAGGGATAACTCAGGAATGAAAATAAATCTCTACTTAAAAGGCAACCTGCCTCTTCTTAACAGACAGTCTTGAGGTGTGCTCACCGAGTGCAGCTGTCATGGCACTGGGTTAACTGTGACATTTTGAAATAATTGTGGTTGTAGAGCTTCCTGTAGGCAGTTGCTGCTTGCTTTGTTAAATTGCCCACATTTTTCAGTCAAGCATTTTCCTGGCTGCATCAAATGTATTGAGTAACTGTGTTAACCTTGGTGTGTTTTGGCAATAGGAGATCAAGTAAACGTCAATAAATGTCTCCCACAGCCCTGATAAACTCCAAGGGCACAGACAGAGGTGTTTATGAGCTGTAGGGGACAATTTGGTCAAGTATACGTTTCCCTTCAAGTTGCTTATTGCCATTTTAGTGTTAGCAGAACATATTTTAAGTCAACTTTTTTGACAGAACATATTGGTTGGCATTGCGTAGGCTTCTGTGTTTTTATGAGACAGATGGCAATTACCCATTTTTGTGCATTGTTATCTTTTAACTTTAAGTATCACATTTACTGATGAACTGGACTTTGCCCTAAATTTTTTTTTTCAAATTTGAGCAGTCTCACCTTATAAAATTTCCTTGCAAAGAAATATTAAGACAGGTGCCTATGAAATTATAATATTAAATGTTATAAGAAGGAAATGACTTTTAAAATGGGTTCAAATTTGATAGAGTTTCTTTCTTTAAATTCAGCCTTCTCATTTCTCTTCTGCCTTGGGATTGTTTTAGAAAGATGGTCATGGTTAATACAAATGCAGGTATATCCTAAATAGATAAAACCATCTGTGTTATTCTTTTAGTTTTTCAGAGGCAAAACAAAAACAAAACATTAAAATACATAGCTTAGGTTTCTATTTATATTCACATCATTCTTCTGAAAACTATGCTCTCTTTTACAGAAACTATAAAGAATATTAACCTATTAAAATTTCTAATGTTTTAAAACAACTATTGGTCAAAATACTTCCTTAGAAGTGTAAGCTAAAATCTATGATCCTTTGATGTGAATACTCAAGCTGGCATATTTTTAAATCAAGCAAAATGTAAAAGGTTAAACAATCCATTATTCATCTCTTTTTCTCCCATTGTTCCAACACAAGAGAAAAGCAATTTTGATTTGTTTAAATTTTATTATCACATTTTTTAAAATCTTGGTTAAAGACTGAATGTAGTCTCTAATGACCAGTGATGAGAAGCTTTTTTTATATGTTTGTTGGCCACATAAATGTCTTCTTTTGAGAAGTGTCTGTTCATATCCTTTGCCCACTTTTTGATGGGATTGTTTCTTTCTTTCTTGTAAGTTTGTTTAAGTTCCTTGTAGATTCTGGATATTAGCCCTTTGTCAGATGGATAGATTGCAAAAAATTTCTCCCATTCTATAGGTTGTCTTTTCACTCTGATGATAGTTTCTTTTGCTGTGCAGAAGCTCTTTAGTTTAATTAGATCCCATTTGTCAATTTTGGCTTTTGTTGCCATTGCTTTTGGTGTTTTAGTCATGAAGTCTTTGCCCATTCCTATGTCCTGAATGGTATTGCCTAGGTTTTCTTCTAGGGTTTTTATGGTTTTAGGTCTTACGTTTACATCTTTACTCCAACTTGAGTTAAATTTTGCATAAGGTGTAAGGAAGGGGTCCAGTTTCAGTTTTCCGCTAGCCAGTTTTCCCAACGCCATTTATTAAATAGGGATTCCTTTCCCCATTTCTTGTTTTGTCAGGTTTGTCAAAGATCAGATGGTTGTAGATGTGTGGCATTATTTCTGAGACCTCTGTTCTGTTCCATCGGTCTATATGTCTGTTTTGCTACCAGTACCATGCTCTTTTGGTTACTGTAGGCTTGTAGTATAGTTTGAAGTCAGGTAGCATGATGCCTCCAGCTTTGTTCTATTTGCTTAGGATTGTCTTGGCTATACAGGCTCTTTTTTGGTTTTAGATGAAATTATTAGCAGTTTTTTCTAACTCCATGAAGAAAGTCAATAGTAGCTTGATGGAGATAGCATTGAATCTATAAATTACTTTGGGCAGTATGGTCATTTTCATGATATTGATTCTTCCTATCCATGAGCATGGAATGTTTTTCCATTTGTTTGTGCCCTCTCTTATTTCCTTGAGCAGTGGCTTGTAGTTCTCCTTAAAGAGGTCCTTCACATCCCTTGTAAGTTGTATTCCTAGGTATTTTACTATCTTTGTAGCAATTGTGAATGGGTGTTCACTCATGATTTGGCTCTCTGTCTATTATTGGTGTATAGGAATGCTTGTGATTTTTGCATGTTGATTTTATATCTTTATTGCTGACATCTCTCTTTAGTTTCAGATCTTTAGTTACAATGCTTAGTTTATGGACAAAGGCTCTCAGATGTCCCTCAAGTATCTCAAACTTTAGGAGCACCCATGCCTTCCCTTTCACTGCTTTTCATTTTTGTTTCAGACATTCATCAACCCACCATTCCCATTCATCCTGGAGGGCAGAAAGCTCTTTTCATGCTCTCTTTCTCTCTCTCTCTCTCTCTGTTACCTACAAACAATCAGTCATCATGTCTTGAAAATTCCCTATCAGAATTGTTTCTCAAATAGTCTCAAATCTATCTTCTCCTTTCCATTCATTTTTGAGATTACCTATGCCTTCTTGCTTGTTATAACTAGTGAATAATTGATCTTTCTAGTTCCCATATTCCTTCTACTCTAAACTCCAGGATAAATCTCCAATTTTAATCTTTCTAATGGATCTAATCTTGTCACTTTCCTGATCAAAAACTTTGGCCACTGTTTGTCTTCAAGAAAAAGTACATTCTCCTTCTTTCTGGCATTTGAGGGGATACCCAATCTGTCTTTACATACCTAGTTAGGGTTTTCTCCCAATACCCTTCTCCAAGCTCCATGTCTTATTTCAAACTGTCCTACACATGTTATGTTTTAAACATTTCATCTACAATAATTTGTCGGAAATGGCATATATTTACCTAGCTTATTGTGAAGCCACAAGTCATTGGGATATGAAGACGGAATTTGGCTTTAGTTTTTCCCCAGTCATGTTCTTAATCATTCTGTACCAAATCTTTCCTGATCTCGGGGTGTCACCCCTTTAATGACACAGGTCAGCTTTTGAAACCCGGAGTAGTTTTAGTTTTTTAAACAATCTTATTCCATTTTAAGACTCAATCCTGATTCAAAGTTATTTCATGCTCCCAGAATAGTTCAGAGCCTTGGCTCTACTGATGTGCAGGGAGAGACGAGGATTGGTCTGTAGTCTGCTTTTCATACACCACCCCTTCTTCCACACCCACCCCTACTGGCTCCTCCAGTGTTGGGTGGAAAAGCAAGAGAGAAAAGGCAGATATCCTCTTACTTGCTTAGGAGAAGTTTTAGCTTCTCTTTGTTTGCCTCATCATTTATGGGATTCCTGGTGGCAGCTGGTAGCTTCATCTTGCTCCACCCATAAGAGTCTCAGAACAGCTCTTAAGTATGGTTCCTAGGAAGGTTTGACTAAATTTTCTCCCTGACTTCCAGCTGTTGGAATCGTCATGAGATATTCTTCTGATATGTGAGTTTCTTTCTTCTGCTACTCTAGTGACCCCAATACAATCTTCCCTCCATGGCCAATTCAGGCTTTGGCCTCCTGTGAGAACCAGGATTTCAAAGCAGAGTGGCCTCACCCACTCCTTACCTGTCGGTCTTCCCCTATACCACCTCTCTCTTATTTCTTCCCCTTCATGGGTAGGTAGAGGGAGAATGGCATGTAGACCAGATATTCCCCCAGATGATTAATTAGGAAACAAAAAGACTGTATCCCTTCACTATGTGGCCAGTGGACATTGGTCCCCTCAAAGTTCACAAAAGTTAGGGCTATTTTCTGTAGTCTAATGATAGGCTTTCCATAGGAACGCTTCTCCTCTAATAGGGTATCTCTTCTTTCCTAGTCCTGCCATATCAATTTTGGTAGCTGCTGAACATATGTACCAGTATTTAAAAGCTGGTTGGTGGTAACTGATTTGTGTTGATAACTGTAAAACACACATCCAATTTCAAAGACTTAGGATATGAAAAGATGTATGAATTACCATTTTATTACATTTATTATATGTTGAAAATATTTTGAATGTATTTGTTTAGATACTATGTTATCAACATTAATTTTACCTGTTCTTTGTATTAATTTGGCTATAAGAAAACTTGGTTATATTTGTGGCTTGTGATGGGATTCAGTACATGTTATCCCAAAATATGGTACTTTGAGATTTGAGAAAAAGTACAGAAGCAGAAAGGTCACTCTCACCCTCACCCACCCTTTTCTCCTGAAGCAGCTCATAAAAATCAAGGAATGATTTTCTGATCTACCATTAATGCAGATCTTAAGGCCCTGTTGTGAGAGGTGAACTTCCTATACCCAGAACAAAGGAATATAGTATTCCTGAAGATAAACACTCACAGAGAAGAATCTGAAGAAACTGGCCTTCCTGTTTTCCCCAGTTTATTACCATTAGATCATTCTCTTTGTCCAATCGTATTTCTCCATAACTGTCTACTACTCATTAAATCTAGTGTAAAAATACACAACTTTAACCATTTCTTTGGGTCTTCATTTCCTGAAGTAGGCTTCGATGTCATATAAAACTTAAATAAATATGTGTGCTTTTCCCTTGATAATCTGTCTTTTGTGATGGGGGTCCTCAGCCACAAATCTAGGATAGATAAGAAAAAATACATTTTTCCTCCTCTTCACTTGCATTTTATTTCTATTGGATGATGCTAATTTAGAAGAAAGGGTATGTCAATTAAATTTTACTAGTTCAGTGAACTACTAGTTCAGTGAATTCTGATAATTTAGAATGTGGATAATTTACATGTTTGGTTTATAGCTTTTGGGCTTTACTCACAAATCAGAGACCAGCAAAGACAACATAGAAATTTAGTCTCCTTCTTAAAATCTTATTGAAAAGTATCCCTCTACTTATAGAATTCAGTCCTGAAAACGTGGGTCAAGAATTAATCAGAGCTGTATATTGGGCCAAATGTTCATACCACCTAGGTTATAGTACTAGATGAATGTCAAAAAGGTATTTTTGAATTTGCGATCTTAATAAACATTAAAGTAGACAGAAAAATATACACCAGAATTAAAATCAACTAATATTAAGGCTAGAAATCAACTTATTATTAAGAGATTTTGTGGTAACGTTTGAGGAAATGGAATAAGTTGTTCTCATCATGCTTATTAATGTTACTGAAATGTTACAACTATTTCTCTAAATTAACCTAAAATACATTCTATTCTGCAATTAAGTTTGACTTCAGGTTGAATGCTACTTTTGCACTGAAAAACATTGTTTAAATCTATATGTGTGAAGGGGATTATAGGCTATATTACTAAACAGAATGCACATTTCCTTTTTAAAGTAGAAATGAAAACATTCTAAACATTTATAGATACATCATCATTAACTATAGGAATATAAATTTGTCTCTTTAGAAAGTCATGCAGAACTGCTACAAAACAGCAAACTCTATCAAGGTAACCTTTATTCCGTTCTGATAGTTATTATGAGGTATTTAAACACGTACTTAAAATGAAGTTGTCCTTTTCCTTCTGCCTAGATGTCATATCTTCTTGGTAAAAGAAATGTCTAAAAATATTCCCCTTCCCTATCTAATTGAGCATATATGAGAGTATGCTGTAATTGGTATTCTGATTGCACTAAGATTCCTCATCATACCCATTTTTGTTTCAATACTGTCATTATCATAGTTTTACATTATCATACTTAAAGCACTTATGATATATGCAGAGAAAGTTATAAAAAATGAGAGATAATTGTGGGTCTTAGAAAAAATATACATGAGGGTTTCTGAAAAGGACATTTAACCATGAAATAACAAAAATAGAAATATCTAATGACAATAAATGACAGTCTAAATAAAGAATGAAAAGGTGACTTTCCTATTCTAAAATGGAAATTTTTGACATTTTTATATTGCTGATCTGATATGTGTTATCTATCTGACACTAGTGGAAAGCTGCTATGTTTTTAAATTCCAACTAAATTTTAGATAGGAAACATGAAAAGTAGCAAAAGATACCATTTCTTGTTATTGTTTTGTCCTGACAAAATTTATACTATAAGGGGAGATTCTTCAAAAGAATAGAGCACATAATTGAGGCAGCTCATTTACTTCTTTCCAGCTGCTATTTTTGGCTGCTAATTGCTGACCACCACAACACTTTGTCACTTTAAGTGATTTCCATTTAAAAGGAATATTTCTAGAAAAGCTGAAATCACTTTAAAATATATTCAAATATAAAAGTAAATACATAGATTTTATTCACAATATAGACACATATAAAAATACATATAACACATTTATACACACACATATATGGATATTCTTCAAGACAAAAATTAGGTTATTTTGAAAAATAATCCAAAATTGCTCATATGCCAAAGTGCTATCGGTTAGAGAAAATTGAGCATTTGTCTTAATTTGGATAAACAGGTAAAAAATATAATGGTACAGAATCAGAGAGACTGAAATATAAAGTAAATAAACAAAGAGAAATTTCATGGCCTCTTTATATCTGTAGCAGGGTCATAAAACAGGAAGAATAAAAACTTATACAAACCACTGGGCTCTTTGGACACCTGAGATTGAGATCCCCATGAGTATTAGACACCTTCTTTAACTTCCTATTATTTACCAAGTAAATATCTTTATTGTGTTTTATGTCTTTGGTAAACATAAATATCTTAAAATGGTATCTTCTCTTGAGTCTCACTAAATAATGAAACAGATGATAACTCTGTCTTTAGCATTCTCTTGGAAAAGTCTGAAAATGGAGTAAAACATTCATTTAGGGAAAACAGTGTTTGATATTTCTTTAAGATAGACGACTTATTAGACTTTATATTTACATCTGTTTTTTGCTTCCAAACTTTTGTATCTCAGGTGGATGATCTTTCAAAAGAGGTTGACAAAGATGTAAACTTCTGTTCATGTGTGCTTAGGTTGCAAAGGGGGAATTATAGATTGGATATCAGAATTACCTTTGTAAAAAACAGATTTGATATTAATCCCTCATAGGTAAAAATCAAGCCAACAAACTCATCACCACTACAGTGCAAAATCAGAGCTCAGACTCCCTGGTGGCAGCAGCTCAGGGATGGACCTCCAGAATATGCATTTTCAAATGTTCCTCAGGTAAAATTGATACAGCCAGTCCCCAATCCAAACAGAGAATCAATCCTATAGGTACTTTATATTCTATCCTTATTTTAAAAATAGGATCACTAGAAATTTATATACTTAAAATTTTGCTTTCTGTCTTGGCATTTATGGAGCTCAGAGTAAATTTTAAAATACAGTCATGGGCCACATAAGTATGTTTTGGTCAATGACAGACCACATATATGGTGGTGGTCTCATAAGATTATAATGGAAGTGAAAAAATTCCTATTACCTATTGATGTCACAGCTGTCATAATGTAGTAGCACAATGTACTCATGTTTGTGGTGATGCTGGTGTAAACAAGCCTACTGTGCTGCCAGTCTTATAAAAGTATAGTATATACAATTACATACCATATATAATACTTGATAATAAATGACAATGTTGCTGGTCTGTGTATTTACTATATTATGTTTTTATTGGTATTTTGGAGCATACTCCTTCTACTTATTAAAGAATAGTTAACTGTAAAACAGCCTCAGGCAGTTTCTTCAGGAAGTAGTCTGGAAAAAGGTGTTGTTATCATAAAAGGTGACAACTCTATGTATACTATTGCCCCTGAAGACCTTCCAGTGGGACAAGATGTGGAAGTAGAAGACAGTGATAGTGATGATCCTGAGCCTTTTTAGGAGTAGGTTAATGTGAGTGTTTATGGCATAGTTTCTAAAAACAAAGTTTAAAAATTTTTAAAAAGTTAATATAAAAAGTTTATAGAATAAGGATACATTTTTTATACAGCTGTGTATTTTAAGCTATGTGTTATTGCAAAAGAGTGAAGAAGTTAAAAAGTTTATAAAGTAAAAAAGTTACAGTAAGCTAAGACTTATTTGTTATAAGAGAAAGATTTTTTAAAATAAATTTGATGTAACCTACATGTACAGTATTTATAAAATCTGCTGTAGTGTACAGTAATGTCCTATGCCTTCACATTCACTCAGCACTCACACTGACTCACCCAGAGCAACTTCCAGTACTGTAAGCTCCATCCATGGTAAGTACCCTATACAGGTATACCTTTTTTTCTTTTATATCATATTTTACCTTACCTTTTCTATGTTTAGATACACAAACACTTACCACTGTGTTACAATTACCTATGATATTCATTATAGTAACATGCTGTACAGGTTTGTAGCCTAGGGGCAATAAGCTATACCAGTTGTTGCACTACACACCTCGGGTAGTATGATATATACGCTGGGTATGTACATCATACAGCATACTTACACATAGAGTGTACCATTGTGTAAATACACTCTGATGTTCACACAACAGAATTGCTTAATGCTGCATTTCTCAGAATGTATTCCTATTGTTAAGTGACACATGACTGTACAACAGTATCTTAGTTGGTGACTTCACAGGCTAAAGTTAGTATTTTTAGTTTTAGGTTTTATATATTCAGTGGTAATCTCTTCATGCTTGATAGAATATACTCTCTTGTTTTTGGAATGCCTTGAAGCCAAACAGATTAGCTTAAGTACTTGAAATTATTTATAAATAAGTAATAGCTTCTACACTTAAAAACATCAATTTCAACTTGTAAATGTTTTTTAACTTTTTTTCTCTTCTCCATTCTCACAGATATTTCCTCAAAAATACCAACAAACTGCTAAATAACCTCCTCCAATATTTTTTTATTTATTATAGTTGACTCACAAAAATGTCTTCCAAGAGGATAGTAGAACACATTTTGAGTAAAAGAGTTAACCTTTATTGTATGATATTCATAAACCTCAATATGAATTTGATTTACCATATTAGCCCTATCTCCAGATATTTAATTCTCCCAAGTCTATGTGCACAATTAAATCTCCATGCTTTTATCCATATTGTTTCTACTGTCCAGCATGTTCTTCCTTCTAATTTCTTTCTGTTTAAGATTAACTCATTCTTTAAGAACCAACTGAAATGTTATTTCCTCTGTGAATGTGTCTTCCAATCCTACCAGAAAGAGCTTTCTTTTACCCTCATATAGTATTTAGAAAATTAGATTTGTAAGTAATCACATGATATTGTGGTTATTCATTTATATGTGTTGTGACCCAGAACTTGGGTCTCAAGTAAAATCTAAATAAAAGATGATAATTTTATAGATACCATATTGTATGCCATGACTTGTGATTACACAGCACCATGGTCTAAGTCTAGCTTGAAGAAGTTGATTTCACAAAAATGTATTTGTTCCAATGTTAAAATACAGGCTCCATTCTTTTTTCCAATTTCACACTTTCTCATTGTACCTGACTATATTAGTCCATTTTCATGCTGCTGATGAGGACATACCCAAGACTGGGAAGAAAAAGAGTTTTAATTGGACTTACAGTTCTACATGGCTGGGGAGGCCTCAGAATCATGGCAGGAGGTGAAAGGCACTTCTTGCATGGTGACAGCAAGAGAACATAAGGAAGAAGCAAAAGCAGAAACTCCTGATAAAACCATCAGGTCTTGTGAGACTTACTCACTATCATGAGAATAGCATGGGAAAAACCGGCCCTCATGATTCAATTACCCCCCCGGGATCCCTCTCACAACATGTGGGAATTCTGGGAGATACAATTTAAGTTGAGATTTGGGTGGGGACACAGCCAAACCATATCACTGACCAAATTATTTGCAGGGAAGTTTAAGGGGAACATATTATCATTTGTATGGTCCTGGATCTTGTTATTTTCCTAGTCATTCCCTTAGCTTTAATGCAGATTGAGATATGGTGATTTGAAGACATCAAAATACCTATTTTACATAACAGTTCAGTTCTTCATCAGAGGGCATTAAACCCTAGGGAAGAATAAAATGAAGAATACAAATAAGAATTCTAAAGCAATGTCAACAAAGGAAAAGGACTTTAAAAATAAAGCTATTATGCAAGCACAAAGTCCTTTTTGGGAAAAGATTTCAAAGGTTTTCCTTCCATCTAAGTTCCCTACAATTCTGTTTAAATCCTAATTCTGTACGTGATTTACGTTATGTTTCTTTAATATCAGGTCCCTTATCTCTGAACACCTTGATGGAGGGGCCACAAACTCTTTATTTTTGAATGTTCCTAAAGCACAATTCTTAAAATACAGCAGTCTGGCTTAGTAAATAAATGTTTTGATTAAATAAATATAAATTTAGGACAAATCATCACAGATTTTAATTTTACCTATTAATTACCAAATACTTGATGTATTATATAATGTTATTGTGGGCTTTCATTACTCAGTTTACATCGAAAGAGATTAGAAGGCTGCAGCCTTTTAAAAACGATTTAGGACTTTTGCTTCCAATAGTAGTATAATGAGTAATTTGGACCAACTCTTCCAATAAAAATAAAAATCCTGGAAAAGTTATAAGATATTATAAAATCATTGAAGTGAGAAGATAGTAAAAAGCTCAATAATAAAAAAAACCTTGATGAGTATGACTGAATATAAAAAAGGACAGAAAAAGACAATATTAGGAACACAAAATAGGATAAGAGCAGATCTAAAATATTAAAATGTACCATGTCATCTTATATCAGTGCTTTTGAAAACCTAGGCAAAAGGGAAAATCTGTAGGAATGTATAAATTAACAAAATTAGACAAAAATAGATTAACAACTACAGAAGAAACAAACATGTTCATTAAACACCTACCATCACTCCCTCCTCTCTTCCCTCGTGGTAAATGTGCTAGCCTCTTAGTGTCCTGAGATTTACTTTTACTTTTGCCTGTCTGGAACTCTCTTCCACATGATTTTAACATGGCAGGATCCTTCTCATAGTTAAAGGCTATGTTTCAATATCATTTAATAAAGAAAGCTTATCTGGCTGTATTTTCTAATGTTACACTAATCCCTGTTAAATCTTTCTTCACTGAATTTATGTTTTATTTCCTTCACAACTTTGACATTATATGAAATTAGTCATGTTAACTTTTAAATGTATTCATTTATTTATTTACTTGTACATCTTGTCTTCTCTACTACAAATAGTGCTATAAAAGCAAGGACTTTATCAGACTTTTCCACAACTTTATCACTAGAACCTTTATCCCTAGCATATACTCTGGTACACTATAAACATGTAATAAGTATTTATTTACTGAATGAGTTCTATTAAAGTAGGAAATAAAATGAGGATCTTTGATAAAATTACTACTATTCAACATTATATTGGAGATTCGAGCCAATGCAATAACACAAGGAACAGTGACAATGAATATAAATATTGGAAAAACAACATCAAAAATCATTATTTGCATATGCTGTTGTCAGCTAGGAGCAAACCAAAACCAGAATAATTAATCCACAGCTGTGAAGTCCAATAAGACAGTTTATCAAGATGGAAAGATCCAAAATCAACAGACACACACAAGTCAAATTTTCTTGTATGGCAACAATAATATATTAGGAAATGTAATGGAAAAGCATTACATTTTCAGTAGCAACAAATATTGAGACATGCTTAGGAGTAAGCCTAACAAGAAAAGTGCAAGAATGTCATGGAAAACACTGCAAAGCTTTACTGGTAGCTGTAAAACATTCTAAATTAATAGAGAGGCAGTCTATCATTACAGATAGCATGACTCACTATTTTAAATATTCCTCACATTAATCTGTAAAGGCAATTTAATTCCAAGAAATGTTAGAACTGAATTCCTCATGGGTCTTGAAAACCAATTTTAAAGTTCAAGTGAATAATAAATTTGCAATAATTAGCCAAAATAACTAAAAACAACTCAAGTAGTTTTTAAGTGTGTCCTACTAAAATCTAAATATTTTGTAATGCTATATAACAGTACTGTTGTTGATGCAATATGAGTTCTGAAATAACCCACCAAATATATGGAGATTGAATAAATAATGAAGATAGCCTTTCAAATAAATGATGAAGGAAGACATATCAGTCTATAAATAGTATTGGGATTAATAACCTGTATATATAAAATATTCATGTAGGAAATTATGTACAGCCCAAAGGAAATTAGACAAAAATAAAACAAAATACACAGTGATAATTACAAATAGAAGCATATGAAATTAAATGCAATTCATGCATTAATTAAATATAAACTGAAACAAGACACCATTCTCCTGCTTGATATTCACTGTTTTTGGCAGCCCTTCTTCCTGTTTTGTGATGTGAAGTTTTAGATTGCTCCTTGTGTCACTAAAGTTAAATATACATTTCTGTTTTCTAATTTCTAATTCTCCTGAAGATTTGAGCAGATCTCTAAAAGAACAAAAGAAAGTGCCAAACTTACTTCACCATTTTAAATTGGGGAAGTCAGCATATTACTCTGAGTCTTTTAAAGTTGATAATAAAATATTAATTAAGAATTTTTTTATTATACTTTAAGTTCTGGGATACATGTGCAGAACGTGCACATTTGTTACATAGGTATACACATACCATGGTGGTTTGCTGCACACATCAACCCATCACCTACATTAGGTATTTCTCCTAATGCTATCCCTCCCCTAGCTTCCCACCCCCTGGTTGGCCCCAATGTGTGACGTTCCCCTCCCTGTGTCCATGTGTTCTCATTGTTCAACTCCCACTTGTGAGTGACAATATGCGGTGTTTGGTTTTCTGTTCTTGTGTTAGTTTGCTGAGAATGATGGTTTCCAGCTTCATCCATGTCCCTACAAAGGACATGAGCTCATCCTTTTTTATGGCTGCATAGTATTCTATGGTATATATGTGCCACACTTTCTTTATCCACTCTATCATTGGTGGACATTTGGGTTGGTTCCAAGTCTTTGTTATTGTGAATAGTGACACAATAAACATATGTGTACATGGGTTTTTATAGTAGAATGATTTATAATCCTTTGGGTATATGCCCAGTAATGGGATTGCTGGGTCAAATGGTATTTCTAGTTCTAGATCCTTGAGGAATTGTCATACTGTCTTCCACAGTGGTTAAACTAATTTATACTCCCAAGCTGATTTGTGATTAAGAATTATGTTTATATGAAGAATTAACTAAAGATTTGAAAGTCTTAATTGGGAAGTAGTCTAGAATCAAAATACAAAAGTTAGTTGCAGTTTTATTTGTACAATTTCAAAAAAGATATTTCTCTAGAATTTTAAACAACTGTTTCAGACAATGTATAGTTATAATCTAGATAAATACATTTAATTAAAAAATCATCTTAGTGTTTTAAGGTATAAAACTGTTTTACTGCAAGTGTGAGGTTTATCTTTAGGGTTTATTAGTTAGTCCTAGTTAAATCTTAATTGGGATTTTTTCCACACATTTAACAATATAGATTATTTACAGTCTCAAGAATACAAAGAAAACCCATTATAGGTGGATCAGAATATCCACAGAAAGTTAACCTTCCTTTTAACAGTGGCAAGGGAGCAAAACAAACTAATGGTGATTAAGGTGTCAGGCTGTAATTGCATTTGCCTCCAAGTAAATCATCAAGTCCCAGTAAATAATTACAGCAAGCAGTCTTTCTCAGCATGGAAGAGTTAACGAGGTGTAATTAAAATTTTTCAGGAACTATTACTGGATTATTTTTTATTGTGGTAAAGAGCACATAGCATGAAAACTACCTTGTTAAGCAAATTTTAATGTATGGTACAGTATTGTTAACTGTATGCACATTATTGTAGAGCCAATCTCTGTAACTTTTTCATCTTCCAGGACTGAAACTGAACACCCATTGAAGAGTAACTCCTCATTTCCCCTTCCACAGTCCCTGGCAACTACCATTCTCCTTTATGCTTCTAAGACTTTGAATTCTTTAAATACTTCGTATAAGTGGAATCATGTAGTACTTGTCTGTGGAATCATGTAGTACTTGTCCTTCTGTGACTAATTTCATTTAGCATAATGTCCTCAAGGTTCATTTGTTTTCTAGAATATGACAATATTCTTCTTTTTGAACAGCCTTCCTTTTAAAGGATTAATAATATTTCACTGTATGTATATACATATTCCTTATCCATCAATGAACATTTAGCTGGTTTGTGTCTCTTGGCTAATATGAACAATGCTGCAATGAATAAGGGAGTGTATATGTCTCTTTGAGATACTGTTTTCAATTCTTTTGAATAAATACCCAGAAATTGAATGGCTGAATTACATGGTGGTTTTATTTTTAATTTTTTGAGGAACCTCCATTCTGTTTTCCATAACGGCTGTCTCATTTTATACTGCTACTAACAGTGCACAAAGCTTCCAATTTCTCCACATCTTTGCCAACATTTGTCATTTCTGGTTTTTACATTTTTGATAATGGCCATCCTAACAGGTGTGAGGTAATGTCTCATTGTGTTTGTGATGGGCATTTCCCTGTTAATTAGTGATGTTGAGCACCTTTTCTTATACCAGTTGGCCATTTGTAAGTCTAAGTAAATATCTATTCAAGTTTTGGCCCATTTTAAATCAGGTTATTTGTTATTTTTAACTATTGAATCGTAGTATTTCTGTATATATTTTGGATATTGATCCCTTATCACCTTAATGGTTTGCAAGTATTTTCTCCCATTTCATAGGATGCATTTTTACTTTGTTGATCGTTTCATTTGCTATGCAAATGTTTTTAAGTTTGATGTAGTTTCACTTGTCTAATTTTGCTTTTATTGCTTGTGTTTTTGGTGTCATATCCAATAAATCATTGTCCAGAACCAATGTTACGAAGCTTTTCCTCTATGTTTTCTTCTAGAAGTTTTATATTTTTAGGTCTTATATTTAAATATTTACTACATTTTAAGTTGATTTTGGGGCATGGTGTAAGATAAAGGTTTAATTATTCTTTTGCATGTGGGTATCTAGTTTCTCTTACACTTTTTGTGTTTCTTTCCCCCATTGTAGAGTCTTGGCACTCTTGTCAAAGATCATTTGACTGTATAAGTAGACCGGATTATTGGTAGTTTCTCTCTTGTGTCCCATGGTCTGTATGTCTATCTTTATGCCAGTACCATACTGTTTTGATTACCCTAGCTTAGAATATGTTTTGAAATAAGGAAATATGAGATGTCCAGACGTATTCTTTCTTCTTGAGATTGTCTTGGATATTCAGGTTCCTTTGTGGTTTCATAAGAATTCTAGTATTTTTTTCTATTTCTACAAAAATAAAATGTCATTGAGATTTTGATGGGGATTGCATTGAATCTATAGATTGCTTTAGGTAGTATGATATTTTAACAATATTAATTCTTTCAATCCATAAACACAGCATGCATTTCTTTGTATTTGTGTCTTCTTTAATTTCTTTCAGCAGTGCTTTGTAGTTTTCTTTTTTTTTTGAGACGGAGTCTGGCTCTGTCGCCCAGGCTGGAGGGCAGTGGCACAATCTCGGCTCACAGCAAGCTCCGCCTCCTGGGTTCACGCCATTCTCCTGCCTCAGCCTCCCAAGTAGCTGGGACTAGAGGCGCCTGCCACCATGCCCGGCTAATTTTTGTATTTTTAGTAGAGATGGGGTTTCACCGTGTTAGCCAGGGTGGTCTTGATCTCCTGACCTTGTGATACTCCTGCCTCGGCCTCCCAAAGTGCTGGGATTACAGGCGTGAGCCACTGTGCCCAGCCAGTGCTTTGTAGTTTTTACTGAACTAATCTTTTGTCTCCTTAGTTAAATCCTAAGTATTTTATTCATTTTGATGCTATCATAAATGGGATTGTTTTCTTAATTTCCTTTATAATTCTTTTTATTGCTAGTATATAGAAATTTTTTTGTATATTGATTTAGTGTCATGCAACTTTGCTGCATTTATTTATTAATTCTAATAGGTTTTTCTGTAAAAGTGTTTAATGTTTTCTGTGTTTACAATCATGTCATTTGCAAACAAAAATAATTTAATTTTCCTTTATGATGCCTTTCATTTATTTTCTTTTTTCTGTTTTCTCTCTTTTATTTATTTTTTATTTTTTTGGCTTAATTGCTTCAGCTAGGACTTACAGTAGTATGTTGAATAGAAACAACAAGAATGGGCATTCTTATCTTGTTACTGCTCTTAGAAGAAGAGCTTTCAGTTCTTCAATGTTGAATATGATGGTAGCTGTTTTCAAACATGGTCTATAATATGTTGAAGTAATTTTCTTCCATTCCTCCTGTATTAGTCTGTTCTCACACTGCTAATAAATGCATACCCAAGACTGGGTACTTTATAAATGAAAGAGGCTTAATTGACTCAGTTTCACATTGCTGAGGAGGCCTCACAGTCATGGCAGAAGGCAAACGAGGAGCAAAATAATGTCTTAAATGGAAACAGACAAGAGAGCTTGTGTAGGGGAACTTCCGGTTATAAAACCATCAGGTCTCCTGAGATGTATTTACTACTAAGGAACAGTATGGGGGAACTGCCCCCAAGATTCAGTTATCTCCACGTGACCCCACCCTTGACACATGGGGATTATTACAATTCAAGGTGAGATTTGGGTGGGGACACAGCCAAACCATATCACCTACTTTAAGTGTTCATTGTTTTTAAAAAGGTGTTAAATTTGGCAATTTTTTCTGCATCTATTAAGATGATCATGTATTTTTTATTATTTGTTTTGTTAAGGCAGTGTATCACATTGATTGATTTTCATATGTTGAAAAACTTTTGCATCTCATGGGTAAATCCCACTTGGTGATGGTATATGATCATTTTATTGTGCCCCTGAATTCCGTTCATTAGTATTTTTCATACTTTCTTCTTTATGCTTCACTCAGAGAAGCTTCATGCATCACTGTTACAGAATTACAGCATTCTCTATTTATCTTTATATCTATCTTTACCAGCATACTTTACACTTTTGTTTACTTGTGGGTTGCTGTCTGGTGTCCTTCCATTACAACTTGAAGGACCCCTTTTAGCATTCTTGTAAGGTAGGCCTGGTGTTTATGAAATACTTCAGTTTTTGTTTATCTGGGAAATACTTTATTTCTTCTTAATTTTTGAAAAACAGTTTTACTTGATATATTATTCTTGGATGGCAATATTTTTTTTTCTTAAGTAGTTTGAATATATCATCCTATTTGCTTCTGGACTGCCAGGTTTCTGCTGAGAATATGCTAAGAGTTTTACGAAAGCTTCTTTGTAAATAATGAATTGCATTTTTTGCCAGTTTCAAAATTCTTTCTTTGATTTTTACAATTTGATTATGACATGTCTTGGTATGGGTTTTCTTGGTTTCATTCTGGTCTTCTTATACCTTAGATGTCCATTTCCTGCCTCAGATTTGGGGACTTTTTAGCCATTGTTTCTTTAAACAAAAGCTTTCTTCATCTTTCTTCCTGATCTTTTGGTATTCAAATAATGTGTATATTGATGCATTTGATAGTGTCCCATAAATTCCTTACATTTTCTTCGCTCTTTATTATTATTTTTTTCTCTTTGTTCCTGACTGGATAATTCCAAATGACTTGCCTTTGATTTTATTGGTTATTCTACCTGTGTGTTCAAGTCTGCTGTTGAAGCCCTGTAGTGAATTTTTAAATTCAATTATTGTATACTTCAGTTCCAAACTACTGCTTCATTGCTTTTTTTAAAAAATTATCTCTTTGTAGATATTGTCATTTTGTTCATGTATCTTGTTCCTGAGCTCATTGAGCATGCTTATGATGGTTATTACGAATTTGTTATAAGATAAAGTTATATAATTCCATTTCTTTTGGGTCATTTCTGGGAAATTTATTTTGTTCCTGTGATTAAATCATGTGTCCTTGTTTCCTTTGATTAGGCCATGGTTCCCTGTTATTTTGCACTTAGATCCACACATTTGAGAAAACAACCACCTCTTCTAGTATTTAAGGACTGGTTTTGTAAATTAAAAGACCTTCGTCAGTCAGCCCAGCTGGAGATTCTGCGACCCCTTAAACCTTTTCTGTTGATATGTCTTCTCTAGATTTGTATGAGCAAATTCTATATTAGAAGGATTTGCTGATATCTTTTTGCAGGTACTTCTAATTTATTGCACCCTCTGGTGTCTGCCTGCAGTACTGCAGATTCTTCGGAGTTTCCTCAAGCTGCCCAGTTCTCTTTTTGTTCTCAGTGATCCCTAGGCTTCTAGCATCTGCTAAGTTCCGTCAGTGCTCTAAGTTGGGTGAGACAGAAACCAGTTCCTGGAGCAATCTCTCCAAAAGCTAGAACACTGGATGCACACTCAACTCTTTTTTCCCGGTGGGGAAAGACTTCTGAACTTATTTTTCCTATTCCATGAGACCCCTGAAGTAGCAGCAAGTCACTCAACTCTCTTGCTTTCAGTGGCCGCCAGTAACCTAGTGTATGCTGGGTCTTGTCATTGGTCTGATTTAGGTGAGACAGAAACTAGACCCTCAAACAGTCTTCCGACTAGCCAGAACATTGGATGCATATGTTAACTCCCTTCCCAGGAAGAAGCTGGGAGTTTGGGGCTTTCTTCACTCATTCCATGCTGAGCTGTGGAGGAAAGATTATGGCAAATGAATATCTACTACTTTAAACTGTCACCTTTGTTCTCAGCTGCTTCCAAGCTGGCATCCTTTCCTGTCAGAGCTTAGATTCACCAAGACAGAAACCAGTCCCTTGGGCAGTATCCTGAAAAGTCTGAATATTGGACATATGGTTTAGTCTTTTCCTACGCAGAGAGAAGCCAGAAGCTGAGGAGATGGGAGAGAGACTTTAGTAAGTAAGTACCATCAATATTTTTTACCCACTTCAATGCAGCTGGTTTTTTTTCCCAAGGTTCTGCCCAATACAGCGTTTGCCCAAGGTTTAAGAACTTATTAATTGGTGTCTGTATTCCTCACAAAGGGAATTAGTCCTTGTATTGTTGTTGAGTTAGTGTCTCCAGTGGGGGAAGAGAGTAGGGCTTCCCATTCCACCATCTTGCCGATGTCACATTCTCATTATTAGATTATTTTAAATAATAAATTTATTCATTGTCAATGTGTCAAACATTGTTACTTCCACTTTCTTTTGGCTACGCTTTTGCTTAATGCTTTTAAGGGAAGCACACTATTCTTTATAAAAGTATTCATTATAGAATACATTGTAAATCCAAACAGAAAATAATTGTGTTCATTTATGCAGTTTTATACTCCCTTTCATAAGAACCCTGGAATAGCTACCTAATGTTTAAACATAAAAATATATATCTTCCTTTTATTTAACTTTCTTTATTTATCTCTATAAATATCTCTATAAATGTATCTCTCTAAATACATAAAGAGTGGAAATTTGGATCCTATTGGATTAGTAGATTTTTCAATATTAACAAACCATGGATATATCTTGAAAAATGTTTTCAAGGGCTACACAAAACACTGTAAGTTTAATTTCCTTAACCTTCTTTCAATTGCAAAACAAAACAAAACTATTTTGACATAAAATAGATTTTGATCATCACTGGACATTATTACCATTGCTTTATTCAACCAATATTCATTTGGATTTACCTACATAATTATCTTTTCTGTTACTTTTCATACACTTCCATTTCTGAGCTTTTACTAGGATCTTTTATTGGCAGAAGGTAGATGATCCCAGTAGGATCGCAGTAATTTTATTTTAATGTCCATGTCTAATAACTCGATTTCTTAGATTTGTCATGGGCCTGTTTCTATAATAGGTTTATCCTCTTGGTTTATATTAAATGTTGTATTTTTATAGCTGTTTTTTTAAGAAATTAAATGCTAGACACTGTATATTAAAAACTATAAAGGGGATTGGATGCTTTGAATGGTATTATACCTCTCCTAAGTGGACTTGGTTTAGTTTCTAATAGGCAGGTAGAGTATGACAATAACTATTCAGATCACTTTACTTCAATTATGAATTCAAATAACTTGTCTGGGCTTCAATCTTCATGACAATTGCTGTATTTCTCATTTACTTTTACTCCTAGAGTGTAGCCATTTTGAGTCACAACTAAATGCTTGGGGTCCTTTTCAGAGCCTGTCTATACTGCTGAACTCGAAATTCCAAATTTTGCCTAACCCCTTGAGTCTCCTGAAAGTTCCGCTCTGCTATATGTTTTGGGATTTCAAATGCCTTGAGACAAAAAATAATATCAAATTCTGGAGTCATTAGTCTGGACCTTTTCCCCTTGGTCTTGGTCCTAAAAATCTTTATTGACAAAATAACTCTTTAATGTTTTTATAAAGATTAAAAAAATTACTTTCCCTAGATTTGATAGGTGCTCTTAGCAGGAAGTTTAGTCTAAAACAAACTATTCTAACATTGTCACTAACAGAAATTTTAATGGTCTCAGAGTAAAGATGTGTGGCATCTTTACTGTTGTCTGTGGAAAACAGTCTCTGCTTCTTATTTATTGTACTATGCCAATAAAAAAAAGCAATCGTTTACTGTAAGAAGTTTGATAAAAAGCCATAGTCCTTGTAGATAATGCTAGAGGGTGAGAATAATATACCCCAGTTTTGAAAATAAATTTATTCTCAGATCTAAATTTTGAAATTTGTAACTTAGGCGTGAGAATAGAATTAAGCAAGTCTAGTCTCAACAGACTGACCAATTTATGTCATAAAAATGTTACCAGTTCAGCCTGGGAGTAAATGCCACTCTTGCATTTTGAAGGTATGGTTATTTGTTAATAGAGACTAACTGAAAAGGTAGTCTGTGAATCAAGAGATATAGTTGCCCAAGTCTTTCCAAGGTATTAGAAACACTTAACTCACTGTATTATAGTCTTTCTGGTCAATACAAATATTTCTATTGCAGTTGAACCCTTACTGATATTTCCTGTTGGTAATCTGAGTCCTCACAATGCCATTCTCCACCAATAAATTCTTTCCCCTTTTCCTCCTCCTCTTCCTCTCTCATTCTGCCAACTCCAGCAGTTGAAGAGTTCCTATTTTTGCTGCAGTCTTATCAGGAGTATTCTCTGAGCTGATCTCATTTATCTGCTAGCCTCCATAAGTTAGTTGTAGGCTTTTCTCTGCTCAGGGCATCTCCTACTTATTGCTAGTTTTTTTCTGGAATTTATTTAATTTGTATTATTTTCTATCATTTCAATAAATGTTGGTGGAAGGAAGGAAGTATAGTTACCAGTCTTCCATTTTGAATTCAAATCCTATTATAATTTAATTTGTAGGCATACAGCTTTTTTCCATATAATTAAATTAATGTTTATCATTCCATAGTGCTTAGAAGAGAATTTAATTGAATTGTGAATGAATTTTGCTTTGTAACTTATTGTTTTGTAACTTTGTAATTTATTGTTAGGTAAAATACTATACTTATGAATAAATAAACCTTTTACCGATTTATTCTACTAGCCAACATTTCTGAAGTAAAAGTATTTTTTTTTTTTTACCTTGGGAATAGATTATGGTTTTGTTTCAGGAATAAAGGAAGAACAAGCAATCTAAAACCCAAGAATTAGATTATACTCATAAAAGATTATTTTATGAGGTTTATTGATCAAAAATTTTGTTAATTTATGAACTGAATGAACAGAAGGTGAAAGTTTAAACATACGTTGACACAACAAAAATTTAAGCTTAGATACAAATATTATATTTTACTAAATTTCATATTTCCGGGATTGCATATTTCCTTTGTAAAACTTAAATTACACACTAAACACTGGCAAAGACATTCTATTTTTAAACTAATTCTGCTTTTCTTTTTAAAGATGTAATATTAAGTGTTTCTATCTATTAGATAATTGGATTTCAGTTTCTACCTCTAGGCACAGGCAAGAGTTTGATACTTTTCCCCCAGTTTTCCTTAGAGAAGGTGCAGCTGTATGAAAAGTGATAACAAAAATAATAGTGCAGTGCTGGTTGGGAGGAAGCATTTTCTTTTTCAGAAATCAGTAGGAACAGAGAGTGATCCTATTTTTCACCTGAGGCAAATCACCATTACAGAACAGAAGAGTGCTCCTCTAGTAAGGGCAGCAGTGACGCAACTTTCTATCAGTGACCATTCAACGTTAGGAACAGTACAAAATACTGGGGAGAGGCTAATTAAATTAATTCTGTGGAAAAGAGACAATATGACTCCATGCAGTCAGGGTGCCTCAAGGGCTTTCCCTCTATCCTCCATCTCCAGCATCACCCAGCCTCTTCTCTTCAGTATCTCACTCACATACTTAATACCTGGTGTGTGACACCTGGTTCCTTTGGTGTTCTTGCTTAAGCTGCAGTGTGAATATTTGACTTGTTCTATGATTGATGAGTGCAGCAGGAAAGAAATGTAATTGCTTTGACTATGCGGCAGTAAATGGATACTTTCTTTGGAAATTCAACTTGCTTCATTTAGACCCAAACATGCCAAGCAGATGCAGATGATCAACTCACAGCATATGATACAAGCAAATATCTTTCTCTTTTATGTTCCGTTTTTAATGTAATAGCAAACTAACATCTGTTGTTCTGAGCATCACAAATCTGTTCTTTTCAATGTAAAGGTTTGCTGAGCATTGATATTTTGCGAAGAATAGTTTTTTGTGTGGCAATCTAACTGCACCCTATTTTTATGTCAAATTCAAATGTTTCTTGGAAAGGTCATTGTTGTGTATGTGTGACTTATTGAGCTGAACTAGTATGATAGATGTAATGATAGGTGTAAATAATTTTACCAAGTATTGTTCTTGAGGGTGGGTAAAGAAATAGAGAAGAAAGGTAATTGGTGTTTAAGGGCTAATACAGTATGAGCAACACCTCTCATACGTTATTTAACACTGTTACTCTTTAAATATATATTTTTTAATAGATCCAGATGGTACACGTGCAGGTTTGTTACATGGATATATTGTATCATGGTGAGGTTTGGGCTTCTAGTGTGTCCATCACCCAATAGTGAATATTATACCCAGTGGGTAATTTTTCAACTCTCACACCCCTGCCCCGCTTTTGGAGTCCCCAGTGTTTGTTACTTCCCTCTGTATGTTTGTTCTTTACAGAGCACTTTTGTTCCACATAAGAAATGCTACTCAATTCTCTCAGAAATTGATACCTGCTATTTATGGTAGTATTTGGTATATATCTGTGAGCCTTTTCCAACTCTCAAGATAGGCCCTTAAATATAATCTGTAATTGTATTAGAATCTTTCTCTGAACCAAAGCCTTATAGGATTGCACGTTTCTTTCTTAGTACAATAGGGAAATGTTAGATTAGATATAACAGGAAAAATAAAGAGTTTTTTAGATCACTTTAACATAAACAATATTACTTTTAAGGGTAAGTTAGCTCATGTGTTTACACAGTGACATAAATACATCTAAATTTTTGCATAAGGTACACATGTTGATTTGTTCTTCCGATGGAAAAATCTTAGTTGCGTCGCATGTCTCCACATTTAGTTGGCATTAAGATTGTTTTGCAAAAAGGACAAGGTGAAATAGTATGGCTTGGGGCTATATAGCATCACATTTAGAAAATTCAATTCAATATGCGTCTTCTGCATCATCCCTATGCTACCTTTTAAAAAAATCAACATTTAGGCCAGGAGCGGTGGCTCACGCCTGTAATCCCAGCACTTTGGGAGACTGAGGCAGGCATCTCACCCAAGATTGGGAGTTTGAGACCAGCCTGACCAACATGGAGAAACCCCGTTTCTACTAAAAATACAAAATTAGCTGGGTGTGGTGGCTCATGCTTGTAATCCCAGCTACGTGGGAGGCTGAGGCAGGAGAATCACTTGAACCCAGGAGGCAGAGGTTGCAGTGAGCCGAGATTGCGCCACTGCACTCCAGCCTGGGCAACAAGAGCAAAACTCCATTTCAAAAAAAAAAAAAAAAATCAAAATTTATTTTCAACAGAAAACAAATACATATAAAATAAAACAATAACGACAATAACCACTATTATTATTGATTCCAATGTTTTATACTAACTGAAAGCTTTCACATTTTGAAACCCATTTAAGGCAAGACATTATTTTAAGGGAATAATAAATGTTACATTTTAAATTTATTAAAAAGAAAACATTATTACTCAAAATATTTTTTTAAATAGGATTTCTCATTAGTTATAATGCCTAAAACTGTGGCTTTGAGTATTATGTCCTGCTGTCTGTCCATCTTTCAACTCTATAATTCAACAGCTTTTTTTTGTTGTTAAAAAATTCTCTTTTATCTAATAGCTCATGTACAGGTACATATGTGTGTGCATACTCATAAGCTCAGGAGAATTGTAAACTATGAGCTTTATAAAGAGTTTGGAAGATTAACCTAAACAAGAAAGAGTTGAAAGCTTGAAATTTTCATCTTTTGATTTAATCTACAGAAATGAAGTACCTGTTATGCTGTAGAATAAAATAATAACATACAAAAAAAGTCAAGAATGTGGTACTGTATTGCTGAGGTTTCCAAAGCTATCAAGCATTCTTGTTAAGAATGATTGGACCTATCAAAATACAAAAGAGCAGCTGGGGACATTTGAAGTGATGACTTATATTTTGTGCTACCCTGGTCAGAGATGTGAGCAGCAACATACAATAATAAAACAATGTTTAAATCAAGCCACAATGAAAGATATGATAGTAAAAAGTGGGTATCTTGATACAATTAAAGATACAATTGTTTGGATGAAATATTTATATTTCTAGTTAATAGGAATTAAAAAGTAGAAATAACACAACACTTAGATCACTTTTGTTTACATTAAATTTGAAATATGTAATTTTGCAATGATTTATGTTTTAAAGATGTCCCACAGTTGAACATAGAAACTGTAGCCTTATATAAATTAATATTTATTTAATTGAAAAGTGTTCCATTTGAGCAGAAAATAATCTTCGTCTGGAGTAAATAACTCATAGGGGGAAGGGGAAGAGGAGGGGACAGAGGAGTCTCTAAATTAAGTTTTAAAGTTGCTTTTTATCCATGGGTAGTGGCAGAAAATAATGCCTGTATGGTAATTCAGACTGAAGAACACATCAGATTCCTAGAAGGTATCTCTGTTCATTCTTTTAAAAATGCAAAACCAAACTTAACAAAATATCAGAAAGAATATTTTCCATTAGGACAGCCAGTCCCCTTTCTGTTTTTAATTGTTTGGTATTTTGGGAATGCAAGTTATTGTTTAGAATTTATATGACCATTTAATAAGTATTTCCATAGCTACTTTGAAGTGTTGTGCAGTTATTTTCTTTTAAATGTGAACTGAATATTTTATATAATCATATTAGCCCTATCTCTCCTTTTATAAATGACAAACAAAAAAGAGTAATTGGAAACTCCTGAAATATCGAGTTATTATATACAGTTAATATTTGATTTGCCAAAACTTAAGCTACAGTGTACTTAACAACAAGGTTTTATACACCTGATTTCAGAACAGAGTATGTTATCAATTATCTTGAATGGTTCATACTTGGAATTATTGCTTCCATTGTCCAATTAATTGGTGTTATTGTAGCATAATCATATGGGGTATAATTATTTTATGAACTATGAAATAGAAGATGAAGATAAACAGAAAATGGCTTTTGAATTTTTCAACATCCTCTTTACTTCTATTAATTGTTGTCTTCATTTGGAATCTAAAAGCATCAGAGTGTGTATGAATCATTCTATAGTCCAGGGGTTTTTATGTTCTCTTTATCATGGCATAGAATACATCTGACTGATGTATTTGTAAACTGGGGTTGAGGCCAGTTCTCCAGGGCAGTACCTATATTGTCAACCCTATTACTTTCCTCATTAAAGAAAGCAAATTGAATGCAACCAAGGAAAGGTGATGTATAAGAGTAACCTTGAATCATGCTAAGACAATGTTTTATAGTAAAGTAAATTATCTCTTGAATTTTGAAGCTTTTAGTGTTATTAGAAACAAATTACTTATGACATTCTATTGCATTATGGTACTGGATGAGAACTACTGAAAAAATTGTCAGTGGTTTTTCCTTTAACATTATTATGTCACTTTTTATTCTTGGCTGATATGGTTTGACAGTGGTATATCTTCTAATTTAAAATAATGGTCAGATACACATTTGGAACGACCTGGTTGGCAAGAATATGCTGCTGTCAGAATACTTCAGCTGAAAGATTTCCTTTTATAGTCCATTTAATTCAATGCCGCTCTTCTTTTCTGAAGGTTGCCCAAGATTCCTCCAAAACTGAACATGCATCTAAAAGATCAGTGATTCACAGAAACAATTCAAATGTTACTACATTTGTAGAGTAACTGCAATTGAGTTGTAAATATTTTTTAGTTATACAGACATCTTGACCTTAGGAGGGTCATAGTCTATTATAAGTAAATGTAATGTAAGGAAGGCATGGCATGAAGTGTGCTGCAGATAATTTTTTTTTTTTTTTTAGACAGAGTCTCACTCTGTTGCCCAGGCTGGAGTGCAGTGGTATAATCTCGGCTCACTGCAGCCTCCACCTCCCAGGTTCCAGTGATTCTCCTGCCTCAGCCTTCCAAGTAGCTGGAATTACAGGTGCCTGCCAGCACACCTGACTAATTTTTGTATTTTTGGTAGAGATGGGGTTTCACCATGTTAGCCAGGCTGATCTTGAACTCCTGACTTCAGGTTATCCGCCCTCTTCAGCCTCCCAAAGTGCTGGGATTACAGGCATGAGCCACTGCACCTGACCCAGATAATTATTGTATTAAATATTATCATATTAAATAATTACTTTTCTCCTATGTACATTTTCTTTTACAAAAAATCAGAATACAATTCTAAAATTTTAGAAGCAAATACTATTTTCTTTCATTAAAAATAACACCAAATTCTTTAAGATTATCATCTGAAGAGAAAGCTTTTGTTGCTTTTTGGTTTTGTTTTTTTTTTTGTTTTTCTGAGAGTCTAGGGACCTTGAGTTTGGCTTTCTCATTGGGGTCCCTCTCATAGTTACCTCTTTATTATTGAGCTAACATTAGAATTGATGAGTGAAAAAAGTGAAAGCAGGAATGAGATGGTGATGATGATCATGATGAAAGAAAAAACTTATATGTATGGGAAACTTACTGTGTGACAAATGCCCTGCTCTACATACATAATTTTATTTTATCCTTGTAACAATCCAGTGAGTTGGGCACTGTTATTGTTCCATTTCACAGATGAGGAAACAGACACTTAAGAGATTTTATGTTATTTTCCCAAGATCACAGAAGTAGATCTAAATAGTGAAACAAAGATTAGAACTCAAATATGCTAATTTTAAAACAATTTTAAGCAATAGGTCTGTAGGTATATTAAGAACCAAAATAAAAACTAGGTATATTTAAAAAGGGAAAACAATACATATTTTAACAACCTTTCCCAAAATGTGTTCCAGAGGATATTAATAGACACTCTGAAAGTGTCAAAGAAGAGATACTTCTTTGAAAAGTGTCTCTTAATAAAAAAAAAGAGTTCTGTTTCAATAAGATTGGAAAACATAAGCTTAAAAAATTCAATAGGTTTCTTTTTTGAGAGGGAGTCTTGCTCTGTCACCCAGGCTGGAATGCAGTGACACGATCTCCGCTCACTGCAAACTCTGCCTCCCAGGTTCAAGTGATTCTCATGCCTCAGCCTCCCAAGTAGCTGGGATTACAGATGTGCACCACCAAACTCAGCTAATTTTTTGTATTTTTAGTAGAGACAGGGTTTTGCCACACTGGCCAGGCTGGTCTCCAACTCCTGAACTCAAGTGATCCACCTGACTTGGCCTCCCGAAGTGCTAGGATTACAGGCATTAGCCACTGCACCTGGCCTAAACACGTTTCTTTATTGCTTGATTTTTCAGAATATTTACTAGGTAGATCTCAAATAGGAGAATATATTATATAGTATTTCCTAGATTGCTTATGCATTTAACTTTATCTCTTGAGAAACTTGCTTCGGGAAATAATCTAGATAAAATCTGGTTTATAATGTAAACATGTTAGCATTTTATATTTTCAGAATGATTTAAGAATTCTAGGGAGATCTGGCAAGATGGCCAAATAGGAACAGCTCTGGTCTGCAGCTCCCAGTGAGACCAACACAGAAGGCAGGTGATTTTTGCATTTCTAACATTTCCAGTTCATCTCTTTGGGACTGGTTAGACAGTGGGTGCAGCCCACAGAGCACGAGCAGAAGCAGGATAGGGCGTCGCCTCACCCAGGAAGTACAAGGGATCAAGGAACTCCCTCCCCTAGCCAAGGGAAGCCCTAAGGGACAGTACTATCCAGCCCAGATACTATGCTTTTTCCACGGTTTTTGCAACCTGCAGACCAGGAGATCCCCTTGTATGCCTACACCACCAGGGCCCTGGATTTCAAGCACAAAACTGGGCGGCTATTTAGGCACACACTGAGCTAGCTGTAGGAGTTTTTTTTTTGTGTGTGTGTGTGTACCCAATTGGGGCCTGAAACCCCAGCAAGACAGAACCGTTCACTCCCCTGGAAAGGGGTAGAAGCCAGGGAGCAAAGTGGTCTTGCTCAGTGAGTCCCACTCCCATGGAGCCCAGCAAGCTAAGAACCACTGGCTTGAAATTATTGCTGCCAGCACAGCAGTCTGAAGTCAACCTGGGATGATCAAGCTTGGTGAGGGGAGAGGCATGCACCATTATTGAGGCTTGAGTAGGTGGTTTTCCCCTGAGAGTGTTGAGGACGCCAGGAAGTTCAGACTGGACAGAACTCACTGTGCATGGCAAAGCGGCTGTGGCCAGACTACCTGTCTAGATTCCTCCTCACTGGTCTTATAGAAAAAATTCCCATCTCCCTGGGACAGAGCACCTGGGGGAAGGGGCGGCTGTGGGTTCAGCTTCGCTGGACTTAAACATTCCTGCCTGCTGGCTCTGAAGAGAGCAGCAGATCACCCAGCACAGTGCTCAAGCTCTGCTAAGGGATAAACGGCCTCTTCAGGTGGGTCCCTGACCCCCATGCCTCCTGACTTGGAGAGACCTCCCAACAGAGGTTGACAGACACTGCATACAGGAGAGCTCCGGCTGGCATCAGGCCGGTGCCCCTCTGGGATGAAGCTTCCAGAGGAAGGAGTAGGCAGCAATATTTGCTGTTCTGCAGCCTCTGCTGGTGATACCCATGCAAACAGGGTCTAGAGTGGACCTCCAGCAAACTACAGCAGACCTGCAGATGAGGGGTCTGACGGCTAGAAGAAAAACTAACAAACAGAAAGGAATAACATCAACATCAACAAAACAGACACCCATACACAAAACCCATCCAAAGGCTATCGGCACCAAGGATCAAACGTAGATAAATCCATGAAGATGAGGAAAAACCAGTGCAAAAATGCTGAAAATTCCAAAAACCAGAATGCCTCTTCACATCCAAATGATCACAACTCCTCTCCAGCAAGGGCACAAAACTGGACAGAGAATGAGTTTGACAAATTGACAGAAGAAGGCTTCAGAAGGTGGGTAATAACAAACTCCTCTGAGCTAAAAGAGCATGTTCTAACCCAATGCAAGGAAGCTAAGAACCTTGAAAAAAGGTTAGAGGAATTGCTAACTAGGATAACCAGTTTAGAGGAGGACATAAATGACCTAATGGAGCTGAAAAACACAGTACGAGAACTTTGTGAAGCATACACAAGTATCAATAACTGAATCGATCAAGTGGAAGAAATGATATCAGAGATTGAAGATCAACTTAACGAAATAAGGCGTGAAGACAAAATTAGAGAAGAAAAATGAAAAGAATGAACAAAGCCTCCAAGAAATATGGGACTATGTGAAAAGACCAAATCTGTGATTGACTGGTGTACCTGAAAGTGGTGGGGAGAATGGAACCAAGCTGGTAAACACACTTCAGGATATTATCCAGGAGAACTTCCCCAACCTAGCAAAATAGGCCAACATTCAAATTCAGGAAATACAGAGGACACCGCTAAGACACTCCTCGAGAAGAGCAACCCCAAGACACATAATCGTCAGATTCTCCAAGGTTGAAACAAAGGAAAAAATGTTAACGGCAGCCAGAGAGAAAGGTCAGATTACCTACAAAGGGAAGCCCTTCAGACAAACAGCAAATCTCTCTACAGAAACCCTACAAGCCAGAAGAGAAGGGGGCCAATATTCAACATTCTTAAAGAAAAGAATTTTCAACCCAGAATTGCATATCCACCCAAACTAAACTTCATAAGTGAAGGAGGAATAAAATCCTTTACAGACAAGTAAATTATGAGGGATTTTCACCACCAGGCCTGCCTTACAAGAGCTCCTGAAGGAAGCACCTAATATGGAAAGGAAAAACTGGTACCAGCCACTGCAAAAAACATACCAAAATATAAAGACCAATGATACTGTGAAGGAACTGCATCAACTAATGTGCAAAATAACCAGCTAGCATCATGAAGACAGGATCAAATTCACATATAACAATATTAAACTTAAATGTAAATGGGCTGAATGCCCCAATTAAAAGACACAGACTGGCAAATTGGATAAAGAGTCAAGACCCATTGTTGTGCTGTATTTAGGAGACCCATCTCAGGTGTAAAGAGACACATAGGCTCAAAATAAAGGGATGGAGGAATACTCACCAAGCAAATTGAAAGGAAAAAAAAAAGCAGGGTTTGCAATCCTAGTCTCTGATAAAACAGACTTTAAACCAACAAATATAAAAGAAGACAAAGAAGGGTATTACATAATGGCAAAGGGATCAATGCAACAAGAAAAGCTAAATATCCTAAATATAGCACTCAATACAGGAGCACCCTGATTCATAAAGCAAGTTCTCAGAGACCTACAAAGAGACTTAGAGTCCCACACAATAATAGTGGGAGACGTTAGCACCCCACTGTCAAAATTAGACAGATCAATGAGAAAATTAACAAGGATATTCAGGACGTGAACTCAGCTCCGGATCAAACAGACCTAACAGACAACTACAGAACTCTCCACCCCAAATCGACAGAATATATATTCTTCTCAGCACCACATAGCACTTATTCTAAAATCAACCACGTAATTGGAAGTAAAACACTACTCAGCAAATGCAAAAGAATGGAAAACATATCAAACAGTCTCTCAGACCACAGGCAGTCAAATTAGAACTCAGGATTAAGAAACTCGCTCAAAACCATAAAACTACATGGAAACTGAACAACCTGCTCCTGAGTGACTACTGGGTAAATAACAAAATTAAGGCAGAAATAAATAAGTTCTTTGAAACCAATGAGAAAAAAGTCACAATGTACCAGAATCTCTGGGACACAGCTAAAGCAGTGTTAAGAGGGAAATGTATAGCACTAAATGCCCACATCGGAAATTGAGAAATATCTAAATCGACACTTTAACATCACAATTAAAAGAACTAGAGAAACAACAGCAAACAAATTCAAAAGCTAGTGGAAGACAAGAAATAACTAAGATCAGAGCAGAACTGAAGGAGATAGAGACATGAAAAACCCTTCCAAAAATCAATGAATCCAGGAGCTGGTTTTCTGAAAAGATTAACAAAATAGACTGCTAGCCAGGCTAATAAAGAAGAAAAGAGAGAAGAGTCAAATGGACAAAATAAAAAATGATAAAGGTCATATCACCACTAATTTCTCAGAAATACAAACTATCATCAGAGCATACTATAAACACTTCTATGCAAATAAACTGGAAAATCTAGAAGACATGGATAAATTCCAGGACATATATACTCCCCCAAGACTAAACCAGGAAGAAGTCAAATCCCTGAATAGACCAATAACAAGTTCTGAAATTGAGGCAGTAATTAATAACCTACCAACCAAAAAAAGCCGAGGACCAGAAAGATTCACAGCCGAATTCTCCCAGAGGTACAAAGACGAGCTGCTACCATTCCTTCTGAAACTAGTCCAAAAAATAAAAAAAGAGGGATTCACCTCTAACTCATTTCATGAGGACAGCATCATCCTGATACCAAAACCTGGTAGAGGCACAACAAAACAAGAAACTTTCAGGCCAATATTCCCTGATGAATACCGATGCGAAAATCCTCAGTAAAATGCTAGCAAACCAAATCCAACAGCACATCAAAAAGCTTATCCACCACGATCAGTTTGGCTTCATCCCTGAATGCAAGGCTGGTTCAATATATGCAAATCAATAAATGTAATCCATTACATAAACAGAACCAATGACAAAAACCACACGATTATCTCAATACATGCAGAGAAGGCCTTCAATAATTTCAACACCCCTTCATGCTGAAAACTCTAAACAAACTAGGTATGGATGCAACATATCTCAAAATAATAGGAGCTATTTATGACAAACCCATAACCAATATCATACTGAATGGGCAAAAGCTGGAAACATTCCCTTTGAAAACTGGCACAAGACAAGGATCCCCACTCTCACCACTCCTATTCAACATAGTATTGGAAGTTCTGGCCAAGGCTATCAGGCAAAAGAAAGAAATAAAGGGTATTTGAATAGGAAGAGAAGAAGTCAAATTGTCTCTGTTTGAAGATGACATGATTGTGTATTTAGAAAACCACATTGTCTCAGCCCAAAAACTCCTTAAGCTCATAAGCAACTTCAGCAAAATCTCAGGGTACAAAATAAATGTGCAAAAATCATAGCATTTCTATACACCAAAAATAGACAAGCAGAGAGCCAAATCATGAGTGAACTCCCATTCACAGTTGCTACAAAGGGAAGAACATACCTAGGAATACACTTACAAGGGACATGAAGGACCTCTTCAAGGAGAACTACAAACCACTGCTCAAGGAAATAAGAGAGGACACAAACAAATGGGAAAACATTTCATGCTCATGGATAGGAAGAATCAATATTGTGAAAATGGCCATATTGCCCAAAGTAATTTATAGATTCAATGCTATTCTCATCAAGCTACCACTGATTTTCTTCACAGAATTAGAAAAAAACTACTTTAAATTTCATATGGGACCAAAATGAGCCTGTATAGCCAAGACAATCCTAAGCAAAAAGAACAAAGCTGGAGGCATCATGCTACCTGTCTTCAAACTACACTACAAGGCTACAGTAACCAAAACAGCATGGTACTGGTACCAAGACTGATATATAGATCAATGGAACAGAAGAGAGGCCTCAGAAATAACACCACACGTCTACAGCCATCTGATCTTCAACAAACTTGACAAAAAAAAAAAAGCAGTGGGGAAAGAATACCCTATTTAATAAATGGTACTAGAAAAACTGACTAGCCATATGCAGAAAACAGAAACTGGATCCCTTCCTTACACCTTATACAAAAATTAACTAAAGATGGATTAAAGACTTAAACATAAAACCATAAAAACTGTAGAAGAAAACCCAGGCAATGCCATTCAGGACATAGGCATGGACAAAGACTTCATGACTAAAACACCAAAATCAGTTGCAACAAAAACCAGATTTGACAAATGGGATCTAATTAAACTAACAAGCTCCTGCAAAGCAAAAGAAACTATCATCAGAGTGAACAGGCAATCTACAGAATGGGAGAAGATTTTTGGAATCTATCCAACTAACAAAGGTCTAATATCCAGAATTTACAAGGAACTTAAACAAATTCACAAGAAAAAACCAAACAACCCCATCAAAAAGTAGGCAAAGGATATGAACTTCTCAAAAGAAGACAAATTTTGTGACCAACAAACATATGAAAAAAAAGCTTATCATCACTGATCACTAGAGAAATGCAAATCAAAACCATAATGAGATACCATCTCATGCCAGTTAGAATGGCAATCATTAAAAAGTCAGGTAACAACATATGCTGGTGAGGCTATGGAGAAATAGGATTGCTTTTACACTGTTGAGGGAGTGTAAATTAATTCAACCATTGTGGAAGACAGTGTGGTGATTCTTCAAGGATCTAGAACCAGAAATACCATTTGACCCAGCAATCCCATTACTGGGTATATATCTAAAGGATTATAAGTCATTCTACTATAAAGACACATGCCACACATATGTTTATTACAGCTCTATTTACAATAACAAAGATTTGGAACCAACACAAGTGCCCATCAGTGATAGATTGGATAAGGAAAATGGGCACATAATACACCATGTAATACTATGCAGCCATAAAAAAGAATGAATTCATGTCCTTTGCAGGGACATGGATGAAACTGGAAACCATCATTCTCTGCAAACTAACACAGGAACAGAAAACCAAACACTGCATATTCTCACTCATACGTGGGAGTTGAATAACGAGAAGTCATGGACATAGGGAAAGAAACATCACACATCAGGGCCTGTCAGAGGGTCAGGGGCAAAGGGAGGGAGAGCATTAGGACAAATACCTAATGCATGAGGAGCTTAAAACCTAGATGATGGGTTGATGGGTGCAGCAAACCACCATGGCAGAGGTATACGTATGTAACAAACCTGCACATTCTGCACATGTATACCAGACCTTAAAGTAAAATAAAAATACAAGTAAAATAATAGGTTTATAATGGTATATTATTATTTTTTAAATTTTTGTCTCCTGAAAGTTGAAAGATGTTGAACATTTTTCAGTATGATTATTTGACATATGTATGTGCTCTTAGGTGTAGTAGTATCTTGTATTAGTCCATTTTCATGCTGCTGATAAAGACATACCCAAGACTGGGCAATTCACAAGATAGGAGGTTTAACTGGACTTACAGTTCCACGTTGCTGGGGAAGCCTCATAATCATGGTGGAAGGCAAGGAGGAGCAAGTTACATCTTACATAGATGGCAGCAGGCAAAGAGAGGAGTGCTTGTGCAGCGAAACTCCCCTTTTTATAACCATCAGATGTCATGAGACTTATTCACTATCACAAGAACAGCATGGGAAAGACCTGCCTCCATGTTTCAATTTCCTTCCACCAGGTCTCTCTCATAACTTGTAGAATTTCAAGATGAGATTTGGGTGGGGACCCAGCCAAACCATATCATTCTGCCCCAGCCCCTCCAAAATCTCATATCCTCACGTTTTAAAATGAATCATGCCTTCCCAAAAGTCCCTCAAAGTCTTAACTTATTTCAGCATTAACTCAAAACCCCACAGTCCAAAGTCTCATTCAAGATGAGGCAAGTCCCTTTCTCCTGTGAGTCTAAAATCAAAAGCAGGTTAGTTACTTCCTGGATACAATGAGTGAACAGGCATTAGGTAAATCCATTCCAAATGGGAGAATTTGGCCAAAACAAAGGGGCTACAGTCCTCTTGCAAGTCCAAAATCCTGAGGGGCAGTCAAATCTTAAAGCTCCGAAATGATCTCTTTTGACTCAATGTCTCACATCCAGGTCACTTTGATGCAAGAGATGGGTTCCCATGGTCTTCAGCAGCTCCACCCCTGTGGCTTTGCAGGGTGCAGCCTCCCTCTTGACTTTTTTCACAGACCAGCATTGAGTGTCTGTGGCTTTTCCAGGAGCACGGGGCAAGCTGTCACTGGATGGTCTGGAGGATGGTGGCCCTCTTCTCACAGCTTCACTAGGCAGTGTCCCAATAGGGACTCTGTCAGGGCTCTGACCCCACAGTTCCCATCTGCACTGCCCTAGCAGAGTTTCTCCAAGAGGGCCCTGTCCCTGCATATACTTCCGCCTGGACATCCAGGCATGTCCATACATCCTCTGAAATCAAGGCAGAGGTTCTCAAACTTCAGTCCTTGACTTCTGTGCACCCACAGGCTCAACACCATGTGGAAGCTGCCAAGGCTTGAGGTTTGCACCCTCTGAAGCCATGGACTGAGCTCTACGTTGGCCCCTTTCAGCCATGGATGGAGCAGCTGGGACACAGGGCACCAAATCTCTGGGCTGCACATAGCACAGCGAACCTGGGCCTGGCCCATGAAACCACTTTTTCCTCCTAGGCTTCAGGGTCTGTGATGGGAGGAGCTGCTGTGAAGAATCTCTGACATGGCCTGGAGACATTTTCACTACTGTCTTGGGGACTAACATTTGACTCCTTATTGCTTATACAAGTTTCTGCAGCCCGCTTGAATTTCTCCTCAGAAAATGGGTTTTTCTTTTCTATCACACTGTCAGGCTGCAATTTTTTCAAACTTTTATGCTCTGTTCCCCTTATAAAACTGAATACCTTTAACAGCATCCAAGTCACATCTTGAATGCTTTGCTGTTTAGAAATTTCTTTCAAGAAATACCCTAAATCATCTCTCTCAAGTTCAAAGTTCCACAAATCTCTAAGTAAAGGGCAAAATGCCACCAGTCTCTTTGCTAAAACATAACAAGATTCACCTTTGTTCCAGTTCCCAACATGTTCCTCATCTCCACCTGGGACCACCTCATTTGGACCTTATTGTCTATATTGCTATCAGGCTTTTGCTCAAAGCCATTCAGCAAGTCCTTAGGAAGTTCCAACCTTTTCCATATTTTCCTGTCTTCTTCTGAGCCCTCCAAACTATTCCAACATCTGTCTGTTAACCAGTTGCAAAGTCTTTTCTACATGTTTGGGTCTCTTTTCAGCAGCGTCCCACCCTACTGGTACCAATTTACTGTATTAGTCCATTGTCATGCTGCTAATAAAGACATACCCAAGACTGGGCAATTTACAAAAGAAAGAGGATTAATTGGACTTACAGTTCCACATGGCTGGGGAAGTCTCACAATCATGGTGGAAGGCAAAAAGGAACAGGTCACATCTTACGTGGGTGGCGGCAAGCAAAGAGAAGAGCACTTATGCAGGGAAACTCCTCTTTTTATAACCCTCGGATCTCATGAGACTTATTCATTATCACAGGAAAAGCACAGGAAAGACCTGCCTCCGTGATTCAATTACCTCCCAATGGGTCTCTCCCACAACACATGGGAATTTAAGATGAGATTTGGGTGGGGACACAGCCAAACTGTATCATATCTTTTCAGGTATTCTGTTCATTTTAAGATTATTATGTTTTATTGTAGAATTTAAAGCTTCTTTGTGTATTTTGTAACATATATATAATTTTGTATATTTTGAATAAAATTTCTTATACATTTTCTGTTTTATTAGAAATTTTATAATTTTGCATTTTATATTTATATCTATGGTTTCTTTTCATTTTTGTGTAAGTTGTAAGGTGTACCTAGTTTATATTTTTGCATTGAACATCCAATTGTTCTAGTATCATTTGTTAAAAAGGTTATTATTTCTCCCTTGAATTCCTTTGCATTCTTTTAAAAACACAATTGACTATCTTTGTCAATTGACTATTCCTGGGCTGTCTCTTCTGTTCTGTCAATCTTTATGTATATTCTTTTACCAATATCATACTGTCTTGATTACTATAGTTTTTAGTAAGATTTGAAATTAGGTGGTGTGATTCCTCCAACTTTCTTCTTCTTCAAGATTGTGTTGTGGCTATTCTAGGGCTTTTTGCCCTTCATACAAACTTCAGAATCAGTTTGTTGAAATCTACCAAGCAGCTTGCTATGATTTTGATTGCAATTGCATTGAAACCATAAGGTCAAGCCAGGAAAATCTGATATATTAACAATATTAAGACTTTCAATATATGAATAGAGAATATCTCTTTGAACTTTAAGTGATGCCTGGGAGCCATGTGTTTAAGGTCTCTGTCTGTCTCACCCCCTGCAGTAGATTCCTACATCAGTGGTCCCAGTGAAGCTTGTCTTTTGGTATTCACAGCTGTTTAGAAGTCCCCAAGACCAACCTTGGTTTCAATGATTTCTTAAAAGAACTGACAAGACTTTAATAAGTAGTTATACTCATGGTCATAGCTTATTACTGTGAGAGGATATAAATTCAAATAAGCAAAGAAAAAAAGATGCATGAGGAAATGTCTAAAGAATACCATGGACAAACTTCGAGATGTCCTCTCCCAGTGAAGTGGTGTGGTCATGCTTATTTCTTTCATAAACAACGTGTGAGTGGCAACACATAGGAAGTTTTGTCAGCCAGGGTAATGACTCTGAGCCTTGAATCCAGAATTTATTGGGAGTCACTGCATGCCTATGCAACTGAGCTCAGCACTGATTCCAGCCTCCCAAAGCAGAAACAGGCATTCACCATAAATTACATTTGTTAGCATGAACTATATGATAAAATTGGTACAGGATGGCCCATTACCTCAGGCATACAAAAGCCTTAATGACATTCACCATAAATGACATTTTTAGCATAAATTATCTCATCAAAGTGGTATGCTATAGTGTAAGGCCTCAGGCATACAAAAACACTCATATCAGGCAGAATATTCCAAGGGCTCAGAGCTCTTTTTCCAAAAACCAATCCTGAGGAAAACTATTTCTTGGAAATGTATAGGTTTTTGAGATCCAGGCCTATGAGTTAACCCTTTTCTGCACAACACCTTTGTGTATATCCTGCCCATATTGAGTCTGTGCTTGGCCTTGTGACTTGTTTGGGTCAATGGGATATTGGTAACTGAGACATTAGCAGTGGTCTTGATATGAGTTTTGCTTGCCTTCTTGGAATGCTGCTGCCAAGTAAAGAAGCCTTGTCTACCCTCTTGGAGGATAAACGCATGAAGAAAAGTTTCAGTAATTTCACATATCCAAGCTGAGTAAAGTCAACCCATCAACTTATGAGAAATAATGACTTTTGTTTTAAGCACTAAGTTTCAGAGTAGTTTCCTATACAGCAAAAGATGCCTGACACAAAAATTGGTTCTAGAAGTTGGATCAACCCCAGAAGAGAGTTAATTGATTGGACTGAGTCTACTCTATCTTTGAAGAAGAAGAATAAGGTAAAAATGTTGACTTCAGAGCACAGTAATAATACTGTCTTAGGACAGAAAAAAAATACAAGAACCAACTAAAGTATATTAAAATATAGGCCAGACAGTGGGTAGTGGTGTATTGTTTGTGAGGAGGGTACAAATACAGAGGAGTATGCATGTTTGTAGAGTGAATTCTATAAAAGTCTGGGGAAAAAGTGAAATAAATTAAAACAATATATCCAACTTAAGATGAAGAAAAATTACAAGTAAAAAACTGAGACAAAAAAGCATAAAATAAGATGGTCAAAATAAATCCAACTATATTAGTAATGATGATATTAATATGTGATTAGACTAAATGCTCCAGTTAAAAGGCACATGGATAAAAATCAAAACCCACCTACATGCTGTTACTATAAAGAGGTGTAAAAATTAGGAATTTTAAAAGATTCAAAATAAAATGATTAAAAATATGGCCAGGCAAGTAAAACCAGAAAAGCTGAGTTACCTGAATGTAGTACAAAATAAACTTTGAGGCAAAAGGCATTGCTGCAGATAAAAAACATGCCTATATAATGACAAAAGGCTAAATTTACCAGAAAGCTATATCAATTCCAACGTGATTATACCTGATAACACAGCTTTAAGAAATATGAAGAAACATGACAGAATTAAGGAGAAATAAACAAATCCACTGTCATAGTTTGAAAATTTAACTAACCTTTCTCAGAACCTTATAAAGCAAGAAACCACTAGATTATTTCCAATATCATCTCGATTTATAATCACAATAAGTTTCCCCTTTTGGAATTAAATAGCAATTTATTTAATTTATATGGATAAATAAATACCCACAAATTGGTTTTGAAAAACTATTTAAAAAAAGGAGAACTGAGAAGAAATACTTGCTGTAGCAGATACTGAAACAACATTCTCTAAGGCCATTTTACTGAACTCATTCTAATAACTTTATGCGATCAGTGTAATATAGTAGAAGTTACAAAATTAAATATGAAAAATAACATGTCAAAAATATGAGAGTTCAATTTAAAAGGAAAATAGTTGACTAGTTAATAAATGATGCTGATACAACTGACCATCATAAAGAGAATTAAAATGGAAACTTCCTATTCAAGCTGGAGTTGAAATAAAGAACAGTTTAGCCAAGACTAAAAAATCTAGAAACTATAAAGAAAAGAAAACATGTTTAACCACATGCCATTTAAAAAATGCTTTGCATTTCAAAAGGTAACATAAAATAGTTTATATTATAAATATGAAAAAATGTTTGCACATGATGAGAAAAGCTTAACATTCTATAATAAACAAAGAGCTCATATAAATTGACATAAACTACAACTCATCTCTCTGTTCTCAAAAAAAGCAAAGGATATAAGTAGAAAATTTACAAATGGTAAAAAAAAAAAGGAAATCATATTACAGGATGCTCAAATTCAGCCACAGCAATGCAAATCAAAACATCCGTAAAATATGATTTTTAACACATCAGACTCCAAAATCTGGATGAGGGTATTAATACTTATTGCTATGAGCGTCTGGGGTAAAGAAAATTCCAATATTTTGCTGGTGGATATTTAAAATGTTACAAGGCTTTTGGAATCACTCAATATGTAGTAAATGCCAGTTTTTCAAAGGATATACCACTAATTCTTATATGTATGATAATTTTAACTATAAAAAGAAATCTGCAGGCCAAGGCATTCTGATTGCTTGAGCCCAGGAGTTCAAGATCAGCCTGGGTAACATGGCGAGAGACTGTATAAAAAAGTCAAAAAAATTAGCTAGGTCTGGTGGCGTGATCCTGTGGTCCCAGCTACTTGGGAGGCTGAGGCGGGAGGATCACAGCAGCCTGGGACCTTGAGGATGTAGTGAGTTGCACACTGAACTCCACCCTGGGGAACAGAGTCAGACTCTGAAAAAAAAAATCCTATGAGATTTTGTAGAGTCTATTGATGAAGATTTACCCTGGGTGTGGATGACCACCACCCACTTATGCCTAGTGTTCCATTATTGGAACGCTAAGCATGTGGGAATTACTTATATCCTAGTGCTCAAGGTCATCACCAAGGTCTAATTGCAAAAATTCAAAAAATTGCAACCTCAGACATAAATGGGTTAAGGGAAGAAATCACAAGATAAAAGACCTCTTCTGCCTTATCCTCAATTGCCACCACCATGGCCTTTGCTCGTATACAACTTAGTTTTACTCATGAGCACCTTTTACTTCTTTATGCCCCATACATACTGCTTTGCCCTATAATAATTTTCATTCTTGCCTTGACTAGCTTCAAAATTTTGTTTAATGAGCATCACCTTTTGAGTAATTTTCCTGATGTTTTAATAACATCATAGCAATCTTAACAGTATTCTATAATCAATTATTTAATTGAATTGATGTTTTGCACTATATCCTAAACTCAAGGACAGTGATCATGTGTTCTTTTTCTTTGTGTATCCAATGCCTAAAGCATTTTTAATATGCATACTATGTATTCAATAAATTCTTATTTCAACAAAGCCAGGATGCCTTTGGAAGCTAACAGTGTAGTTGATCACTATGTTCCCAGTTCTAAACATGATGTCTTATGCATATAGAAGCTTGATAAATATTTATTGAATAAATTTTTAAATGAGTGTACTAGAACAGATGGCTAATTTCCAATAAAAGTAATATCTATAGCAAAATACTTTCTAAGTGGTCTTCAGTAGCTTGTAAACCAAAACAACTCACTCTAAATAGCATTTTTAACCTAGTCAGTCCTTAGAAAGAAGGAAGATGTCCACATTATACTCCTGAAGGTAAAAGTAGTTGCATGGGCATCTACTTTTTTAAAAAAGTTCAGTGTGGCTTCCAAAACACACTGAATAAGCACACATGCCTTAGTTGTAGGAAATAAAAACTAACTCTGGCAATCTTATTTTAAAAATTTAAAAAGTGATTTTATTTAAAAGATATTAGAGATCATATAATGTGTGAGAGCCCTGCGAGTATACAGAAAAGGATTCTGTAAGGTCTGAAGGGTCAGACAACAGAAACCGTAGCAAGTATATTACAGAACAAGAACAAGAAGTTTTGTGTGTGACTTATAGCGGTCATGCATCTGACCTCTAACTATTTCCAAGATTTGCGTCCCATCTTTTGGAATAAAAGTCTCCTAATCTTTGAGAGGCTGAAGGGGGTGGATCATTTGAGGTCAGGAGTTTAAGACGAGCCTGGCGAACATGGTGAAAACCTGTCTCTACTAAAAATACAAAAAAATGAGCTGGGCGTGGTGGTGCACTCCTGTAATCCCAGCTACTCAGGAGGCTGAGGAAAGAGAATCGCTTGAACCCAGGAGTCAGAAGTTGCAGTGAACCGAGATCATACACTGCACTCCAGCCTGAGTGACAGAGTGAGACCCTGTCTTCACAAAAAAAAAAAAAAAAAAAAAAAAGTCCCCTAATCTTCAACAGGACAGTGAGGTGGAGGATCTGGCTTCTGCAATAGTGAGAGGTGATCATTTCCACCCATTCATACTCCAAGGGTGATCAGCGTGTCAAGGGGAAGGGACGGTTTGAAACCTAAAGAGCCAAAAATGGGAAATATGTCCATTATAGAAGTGGATAATCAGTGGTATTATCCCTCCATGAGACCATGTCATCCCTCTAAACCTAAAATTGAATTGGAATAAGTCAGGAAATGATAATGATGTTTCAAAAAAGGAATCCAACCTTGCTCATAAAACAGTAGTATGACACATGTTGTCAATATAATGTGTTCCCTTCTTGGACTTGATGGGAACATCAAAGATGTGAATGTAGAATGCAAGGAAATACTATAATAAAATGTAAGCCTCAGATAACTATAATTTTAAAATGTTTTGTGATGAATATTTCACACAGCCATTACTATATATTAGGATAGTGTCTCTTTTAGGTATAAAAGTTAAGCCACATTATAAATTTTAATGAGATTGTTAAAGAAAAGGAAACATTTAAGAGAGGCACTGAGTAGGGTTTGGATTTCCTGGGTGTATATGGTGGGAGTGGCAGTGCTAATTTATCTCACCTTTAGTCATTGCAGAAATACATGAAGCAGGCTGGAGACAGGTATTTAATGTAATTTTCTGTATACATCTTGTATCTAACAATATATAAAAATAGAGAGCAAAGAAAAAAGACGTTTTCAGTTTCTTTTTCTTTTTATTTATTTTCTTTCAGAAATATCTTGTTTCCTAGGTTATTTCATAAACTGAATCCATAAACTTTTTACAAATTTATTTGTTTGTTAAAAATTGTCATGAAACTATATGTATTCATTGGGTATAACATGATATTTTGAACTATATGTAGATCATAGAATGGTCAAATCTAGCTAATTAATAAATGCGTTACATCACATAGTTATCAATTTTGTGGTGAAAACACAACGTCCACTCTTAGCATTTTTCAGGAACACAATATGTCATTATTAACTATATTCACCCTGTAGCACATTAGATCTCTTAAGCTTGTTCCACTTATCTCACTATAAATATGTATACTTTGTCCAACATCCCCCCAACCTGTCTCCCCCCAAACCACCCCAGCCTCTGGTAACCACCATTCTACTCTCTATCTCTATGAGATCCTTCTTCAGATTCCACATATATGTGAGATCATGTAGTGTTTGTCTTTAACTTAGAGAATTCTGTGGTGCCTTTGGATTGAAAGGAAAAGAAATCTCAGGTGGGAGAATTTCACAGAGATAATTTTGCAAAGTTATGGTCTAATTAAAATGGAAATTTCCAATAGCCAAATGGAAAGGCTAGAAATAAAGAAATATGATTTTAGAAATAGAATAATTATTAAATGTGCTTAACAGCAAACTAAAAACAGCAAATGAAGAGATCAGTATAGAGCCAACATATTTTTGTACATGAATAATACATGGAAAAAAACATGTCAAATGAGCAAGTAACTATCAAGGGAAATGTGACAAAGTTGTTCCAGAACATTGTAGAGAATTATATGATCAGGTATTAATATACTGAGAGATCATATTAATGGGCTGTGGAATCATCACTAAATTCTGAAATACATTTACCTCCTAGCTTGCGATAATGGAAAAAATTGATGTTTTTCTGTATCCATAGTTATGAGACTAATATATGGAGCGCAAAACTTCTTATGGTTAGAGTGTCAGAAAGGTGTACTGGTATTACCATATATCCATGCTAATGAGGGTAAAGAGGAAACAAGTTTTGTCATTGTATAGAGATTATATAACTTTGAAAGTGTGTCTCACTGTGATTTCTGGAGCCTCTTAACTTTCACCCTAAATGGAGAACATGGTTTGTGATATGATGTTCCTGGAGTTGTTTGCAAATTTAGTTGATGAGATTGTTTCTGATAGAACCAAATCAACCCAAGAGAATCAGCTCTTAAAGATCTTAGGTTTCCTGATATTAGTGTAAATTATACTTTTGACAAGTCATTATGGGTGGATAGACACTTGATGCAGAACTGTTATATTTCAGAATATATTAGACATAGACCAAGTGTTCTATTAATTTTTAAATTTATTCTATCCCAGGATACATTTCTGTAAAATGTATATCAAAATAATTCTTGTGATCTGGTATAAATATAAATAACCCATGTGTGCATTTTGATAAATTCATTATAAGCCTCATTTAGTGACAGAAATTGTTGAGAGCGAAGTCTCCTTGAATGAGGAAATAATTTGTTCTAAGACTTAAGAATTAATCCTTCTATCCATATCTTTGGTCATTCAAAGGAGGCAGAGAAATAATTGAAGATTTTAATATTTAAAAAATAAATATCACATAGATGGACTCTGAAACCTTTAAAACATGTTTCAGTATCAGTTCACAAAGACAATATCCTCAATAGAAAAAGAGCTTTATAGGGATAAAATGAAGTCATGAGATTCTCACTCTCAACCCAGCATCCCAAAATGGCAAGACGAACGTCAAAATAATAAGTTTTTAAAACTTTATTGAGATAATACCCAGAGGAGCTGAGATCCAGGAAGTATGGAGCCTTTTATAGGAAAGGAAAGCATGACAACCACTTTTATCTTTGGCAGAACTGTCAAAAGAGGAGGAATACACCACAGACCAGGAAAGGAAAAACTGATCAAAATTATAATCAACTGTTAATGACAATATGTGGGCTCATGTGATAGATTAGACTGTAGTCACAGAGAAAATTTCCATCCTCTGGTCATTCTTTCCTGTGGGTCTTTACTGATAACCAAACGAAGGAGACGGAGAAGGAGAGATGAATAGGTACAAGAGAGCTACCATCCTAAATCAAGGAGGAGAAAGACAGGAGAGTTCACAGAGATCCCCAGAGACACCCGGATACGGACCTAGCTACCAAACACTAGGGGGAAGGGAGAATAGCTAAGAGAAATTCTTTTGAGTTACTTCAGACTGAGTATAGGGCTGCTGCCTCAGAAGACTCAGCTTATACGGGAAGACTGTAAGACTCAGAAAGTAAAAAGTATGAATGGAGAGCAAAAGTTATTTCTTTGCTATCCAACTATCAGGGAGCCAGGCTGGAACACAGGGAGAGAGTAACCAGAGCCGGCAGTTCAGCTTTAAAACACAGGCAGCTCTCTGGAATATTACAAGTGCTTAGATCCAAGGCCCTAATAAGAGAAAAATCCTGATCCTGTATTAAGAGTATTTGAAGTTCATGGTGAGCTGAATTAAACTAAAATTTTATAAAGCTCAGACACGGCCCCATTCTAGATCAGATGGACTTAGCTTCTCCCCATGGTGGCCTGATTTAAAACAAAACAAAACAAAACTCTGCTTCATTGTGGAGGAAATAATTATTTACTTCAGTCTCAACTGGACTTTAATAAAAATGTCTGGCATGTAAAAAAATTACAACATGAAAGAAAGGAAGGAAGAAAGAAAGTACAAAAGAAAGAGAATGAGAGAAATGGAGAGAAGAAAAAAGAAGAAAAAAGAAAGAGGGAAGAAAGGAAGGAAATGGTGACTAAAGGTCAAGAAAACCAATGTTTAATAGAAACTGACTAACAGATGCCTCAAGTATTATAATTATCCAATAGGGTTGTGTAAATTGACTGTGATAAAAATGCTTAAGAATCTAGTGGAAAAGGTGGGAGAATTTCACACAGAGATAATTTTGCAAAGATATGGTCTAATTGAAATGGAAATTTCCAGTAGCCAAATGGAAAGGCTAGAAATAAAGAAATATGATTTTAGAAATACAATAATTATTAAATGTGCTTAACAACAAACTAAAAACAGCTAATGAAACAATCAGTGAAATAGAAAACAGATTAACAGAAAGCATACAAATTGAAGCATAAAGAAAGGAAAAAGGAATTGAAAATAAAATGTTCAAGATATATGAAGCGATAAAAATAGTTTAATATATACATTGCTAAAGTTGATAAGGCAAAAGAAATCTCTGAAGAGATAATAACTGAGACTTCTCAAAACTTAGTAAAAAATATCAAGCCATAGGTCCAAGAAACTCAGTAAATACCAGATAAAGCAAATACAAGCAACCACTACTATGACAAAACCACCTAAGCATGTTACAGTCAATCTGCTGAAAACTGCAGAGAGAGACCTCTAAACCAGCCAGAGGGAAAAAAGATACATTACATACTTGGAAAAATGAAAGAAAATATAATGAAATTTCTTCAGAAATAATGAGGACCAGATGCCAATGAAATCATACCTTTAGAATACTGAAAGAAAAAGCTATGAATCTAAATTTTATATTTGACAAAAATATACTTCAAAAATTGAGGAAACATTAAGACATTCTCAGAGAGATGATACCTGAGAGTTTTCATCAGCTCCATATAAGACATGCTTTAAGAAGTTCTTCCAGCACTTTGGGAGGCCGAGGCGGGTGGATCATGAGGTCAGGAGATCGAGACCATCCTGGCTAACAAGGTGAAACCCCGTCTCTACTAAAAATACAAAAAATTAGCCGGGCGCGGTGGCGGGCGCCTGTAGTCCCAGCTACTCGGGAGGCTGAGGCAGGAGAATGGCGTGAACCCGGGAAGCGGAGCTTGCAGTGAGCCGAGATTGCGCCACTGCAGTCCGCAGTCCGACCTGGGCGACAGAGCGAGACTCCGTCTCAAAAAAAAAAAAAAAAAAAAAAAAGAAGTTCTTTAGGCTAAAGGGGAATGATACCAGATGGGATTCCAGATTTCTAACAAGGAAGGAAGAGCATCAAAGTAACTATCTGCATAGGTCAATGTAAAAGACATTTTTAGTGCCTTTGTAAGTCTTTCTCTCTTCATCTGTCCTTTTATCTGTGTATATGTATACATGTGTATTTATATTTATTTAAAAGACTATTGACTATTTAAAGCAAAACTAATAGATCCTGTGGGGTTTATAGTATATATAGTAGTAAAATGTAAGACAAAAGAAACACAAAGGCAGGAGATGGATAATGAACATTAGACTGCTTTATGGTTCTTACTCTGTTTGTAAAGTCATATAATATTATTTAAAAGTCCCCAGTAAGCCCACTGAAAAGGGGATTAGTGCACTGGATGTTCATCAGGAGTGCTCTTGAAATCCTCAACCATGGAATAGTGGGGGCTGAAACATGGTTAGAGGAAGAAATATTTGTGATGAAGAACAAGTAGAAGCCTCTGTCCACCCCTATGGGTGCTTTGGAGCTGGCATATTCCTTTTGATTTGTTCTGCATTGGCACCAGGGAGCCAGGCCTTTACACTCCTGTGTTGAACAGTCAGTATATGTTGACTGCCCCTGGAAGAAGACACAAGCTTAGAAAAGTCAGTTTTCTTTAGCAGAGGTAATCCCAATGATAACTGATGGCTCAGGGCATCATACAGCTGCACTTCCAACAGCTGGGGTGGGGAGGCCTTCATTTCTGAAGGGGATCTGGGCAGTGTAACACAACATCCATGAAAGGATATAAGCATGTGTTAATACAGACAGGTAGAAATTAATGGAAGTATATATACCAGAGTCTTAATAGTGGTCACCTCAGGAGGTTGGGTTTGGGGCATGTAGGTGGACATATTAATCTTATCTTTGTATATTTGTCTATTATTTAATCTTTTATAAATATAACTTCTGAAAATACTCCTTAAGATTTGTAAAGACATAAAATGGTATTTTAATTTCAAAATTCTTTTATATTTAATGCTGATTACATTTCTTGAAAGACAATGGTTATTATCGTACCAGTCAGATTCTAAAGGATTGTAGGAATATTTATTTACTGGATTTGAAAGATTTTCTAATCTATATTCAGCACATCAATTTTTTTTCTCCTTTTTAAAGCTGTGAGTGGGAGAAAATACTATTCTTGCCACCTAGGTTGCCAACCAAGGGTGAGTATCTTTGAGCAGAAAGGCAATTTGTAGTTTTTCTTATGTTGTGTTGGATATAAGAGTGCTTTCATGAAAGAAAGGGAGAGAAAGAGAAGAAAAAAGAAAGAGGGAAAGAAGGGAAGGAAGGAAAGAAAGAAGGAAGGAAGGAAAGAAAGAAGGAAGGAAGGAAAGAAAGAAGGAAGGAAGGAAAGAAAGAAGGAAGGAAGGAAAGAAAGAAGGAAGGAAGGAAAGAAAGAAGGAAGGAAGGAAGGAAGGAAAGAAAGAAGGAAGGAAAGAAGGAAGGAAGGAAAGAAAGAAGGAAGGAAGGAAGGAAAGAAGGAAGGAAGGGAGGGAGGGAAAAGAAGGAAAGCTGACTACACTGTTAGCCAGTAGTAGATTTTCCTTGGCTCAAGGAAGTTCCTGATCATATTCTCAATTCTTACTTGAATTCCATTGATAACTTTGTGCATTTTTTTAAATATCAGGAATTCTGAACTGAAAGACTGTAAAGATTCATGGAGAAAACTAGTCATGATGCAAGGAGGATAACTGAAACAGATACCAAGAAGACACAATGTTTTTCTCTATCAAAGGTGTGTTAGTGTATTCTTGTTTCCCTCCATTTGAAAAGATTTATGTTAGACAAATGTGGAAACAATGTTGGTGTTAGAGCCAATAGTTTATTATTTTAAATGGAAATATAATAAGAGAATAAATGCAATTCATGTGAGTGGATTTATGAACAAGAATCATTTACAGATATTTCTTTAACACAAGTGATAGATGAAATTTGTTGGTATGTTGATAAGGCAATTTATATTCCTACTGATTAAGCATTAATAGGTCCAAGCATTTATAAGCCATAATTTCTCTTAACTAACAGTGGCAGGTGTCCTCATTCAAAGCAAATAAACGTAAGCTGTTTTGTAAATCATATATATGCTGCAAAGTAGTTATTCAAAGTGACACCAATATAACATAAGTAGATTTTGAGATATTTTGATTTTTAAAAGGTAATGAAATTTCCATATTTTCTGTGGCAAATTAATAACACCATATACCACCTTGAATGTAATATTGATTATATCACTTTGCAAAGCCTTCTGCCTGAGGTTTAAGTTACTGACTGTGGCATCTTATTTGTCTGATAACGGCATTTCAATTCTCTTTGGGAAATCATGCCTGAATTAATTGTGTCATTATAGTTAACATTAGTAATAAACAATAATAGGAAATATTTGTCTGTTCAAGTGCTCTTATTGCCTTTAACCATTTTGAATTATTAAACCATTGAAATCAATACTGTTCACTTATTTTTAATAATGAGTTCAATGACATAAAAGTAAACAGTTTTAGAAAATGACTTTTTCTTTGAAGCCCAGCACATGTTGCTATGTATGCAGAGTGCAGACTGAACTTGCAGCCGCTTTTGGCAGTTTTAAAATTATTGTTAATTAACTTTTCTGCTCAAATTCCTGCAAGCTCAACTATAGTTGATGAGTTATCATGCTACAGCCAATAAATCCTGAAGTAATTTCATAAACATAGTTATTTAACCTAAATTGGATTCTCCATCAAACGAGACAAGTCAATTTTTTCAATGCCATCATAGTGTGAGTTTTAATAATGTCACTTTATACTTATATTGGTTTTCACTTAAGGAACTTTACATTTACAAATTTAATATTTCTGCAGGAAAACACTAAAAATAGAATTATTGTCCATAGTAATATATACAAAATGTATACTTAAAATATATTTATTTATCTAAATTGCTATGTAACAAAAACATACTGGGGTTTGATGCAGAGACAAGTGAACTCTGCATCAGGAGGCCTCAGCTGTAGTTTCAGCTCTACCAACTGTCATTTTCATGAATGCCAGCAGGGCATTTACTTCACTGAGGCTTAGTTTATGCCTTGGCAAAACAGAAAGCATGCACTGAATTCTTGTAAAGATCAAGAGTTAATGTATCAGAAGTACATCATAAAGCATAAAGGATTTTACAAACACAGCAGATAATTTTCATTGTCTTTTTTATAAATTCAAACTTGTTAAATTCACATTCTATATTTCTGTATAGCTGTATTTTATATGACCGCAATGACTCCAAACTTGTTTTCAAGGTGATCATGGACTGCATATAATTTTTTTAAATTTAAGATTTAGTCTGGCTTGCTTCAGGGTTTCTATCTTTATACGTAAATGATCTGTTAGACAGAAAAATATGCAAAGAAGATTCTAGCTTAGATAAAAGTCTTTCTGGGTTAAAACTGGAATATTTGATTCTGAGAAAATTTCAGCAGTGAGGATTTCCTATTAGTTTAACCAGCATGTAAATACATCTTTGGTCAAAGAAATATATGCTTAATATATAATATATATTCTGAAGTGTATTTGTGTGTATGTATATACATACACACACATATATATACACACATATATACATATATATGGATAAAGAGAGTAAATAAAATTCTACTGAAAACTTAATTTACTATTTTTGGAAAAAATATGGGGACAAGAGAGAGAGATTGATGTATTTTGTTCTTGGTAGCTATTTATTGTGTTAAGCACAACTAAATAATTAATTCATACATTTATTAATGTGACCACATATTGACTACATGTTATATGTTCATTGCTAGGTACTGACTCTGCAAGGACTTGAAATGGTGGTTTTGCTTTTAGATATTCCCAGTATAGTAGAAGATGCCACCTTGTAAGAGATGATTACAACAATGTGTTATGTGCCATAAACAGCACATGTCTAAAATGGTAATGCCACATTAAGGAGAGATGTAATTGAGAATGTTGGGATGCCTTCCTAGAAGAAGAGATATGCAGAGCTAGTATTAATGATTCAGTTTTACATAAAGCCTTCCATTTTTATATTTCTCAATTTCTTTTTCCAGGGAAAGAGATTTTGGCACTCTATTTGTCTAAATCCATACTATGGTTTTGAATATTATGCTTATATCACATAGAATTTTAGGTGATGTGAAAATCCCATTCTTTAGTGTCACATTGTCAGTTTATAGAGAGTTTACAAAGATGCCACAGCCCAGATTTGTTCCTGGAATATGTAGAGCCAAAAAGCGGGCATGCTGACTTCAATCTGGGTGCTGCCTCTCCTCAGACACCCACTTTCACGTTATGTTCTTAATCCCATCCAAATTGAGAAAGCACATGAAATCCAAATAGATGTATATGTTTAGGATTTATGTATATAATTATATATATGTATATAATTTGTGTTCTAATTTTATATACTCATTATTTGCATTCTGCTTCACATCTACTTTTGGCAACCAAAAGTTGATCAAAAAGGAGGGAGAGAGAGCGAGAGACAAAGGGCATTGTTTATATCTTTCATTTATTCACTATGGTACCAAAACAACTCACTGGATGTAAAAAACTAAATAAATAAAATCTGTGGTTATATGTGGAATTGTGATTTTTGCAAACTGAGAGATTTTAAACCATCAAGAGCTCGCAAATGCCTATGCTGCCCAGTATGTGATTACATTTCTATGGTCTTCAAAAGGCAGGAATCTATGACATTCAAAACATTAAATTAATTCAAGTGCAAAATTTTGGTGCCAGTGAAAACTTTGCCAATAGTTTAGGGCATATGTAAGTTATTTTGTGACCCAATGCTTTTTTTCTTTTCCTCAGAAATCATCCACTTTCCTGTTCCTGTGACACTCTCCACTGATTTCTGTGGTTAGTGTAAGAGCAGATTTCATTTATGCCCTGGTTCTTTATTTCACAGCAGTTATACTTGGTTATTTAATAATGCTATTACAAAAATTCTTTTCTTGCCTAAACTCTAGGCAGGCTTCTCTGAACCTGACTAGGCCCCATCCATGGACATGCTCTCAATAACCCAGTTTTACCAAGAATCCTGTCAGGTTGATTTTGCCAAATTCCCCACCTTCAAGATCTGATCACCCTCAATATCTAAGCAAATTCCTCATCTTGCGCAATTCCCCAGGTAATATCTCATCACCCTGACCTGCCTTCAGCAAGAATCCTATTAGGTTAACTTAGCAAGAATCACCTTACCCTCTTAGGAATTTTATGTCTACTGACCTCCCTACCCCTACCCCCACCACCCTTGTCCTTGGTTATAAATCACAATTTTTCTTTATTATATTCAGAATTGAGCCCAGTCTTTCTCCTTTAAGGCAAAACTCCGTTGTAGTAGTCCCTATACTTATTGTGATAGACTTGAATAGAGTCAACCTTTCCATTTTTGCAATTGTCATAATATTTTTTTCTTTAACAGCTACAAATAAAATAAAAATGTTTTTGGCTTTTCATTTATTTTATGCATCTTATAGTGGAAAGCCCAGTCAGGAGCTCTTGATGCCCAGCTGGGAAATGACTGGGTTATCCCATTATATCAGGCTCACCCTCAATGTGGGGTCCAGGGTTGGTTTTACTCCTTTACTCCTTAATACTCTCCCTTAAGATAAAACTTTTAGATCATGAAAATATATTATTTAGCCATATGGTCTTTCTTAGTTTGTTTTTTGCTATTAGAGGTGATAAGATATTGTGGGAAAAACAATAGACTTAGATTTAAATCTTAGTCTTTTCTTCAAATCAAATAAATTTTTCATAATCGCTCCTAGGTTCTACTATTATCAACTTTCTTTTGAAATCATTATTGCTACCTAGTCCATGCTTTCTGGTACTACTTATAGATTGACATCTTATAAAGAAAATTTGGCTCTTCTGCTATTTTAAAATGAGACCACATTTCACCAGGGCAGTTTTGGAAAGTATCAGTTTTATTTTGTGCTGAATACATCCTACCAAGGCTAATTACTTCCCACATCAGTTTTTCTTATGGTATTGTTTGGCTGTGTCTTCACCTGAATCTCAACTTGAATTGTATCTCCCAGAATTCCCACGTGTTGTGGGAGGGACCTAAGGAGAGGTAATTGAGTCATGGTGGCTGGTCTTTATTGTGCCATTCTTGTGACAGTGAATAAGTCACAGGAGATCTGATGGGTTTATCAGGGGTTTCCGCTTTTGCTGCTTCCTAATTTTCTCTTGCTGCCACCATGTAAAAAGTGCCTTTTGCCTCCCACCATGATTCTGAGGCCTCCCCAGCCATGTAGATCTGTAAATCCAGTTAAACCTCTTTTTCTTCCCAGTGTTGGGTATGTCTTTATCAGCAGCATGAAAACGGACTAATATAGTAAATTGGTACCGTAGAGTGGGGCATTGTTGAAAAGATACCCAAAAATGTGGAAGCAACTTTGGAACTGGGTAACAGGCAGAGATTGGAAGAGTTTGAAGGGCTCAGAAGAAGACAGGAAAATGTGGGAAAGTTTGGAACTTCCTAGAAAGTTGTTGAATGGCTTTGCCCAAAATGCTGATAGCAATAAGGATAGTAAAATCCAGGCTGAGGTGGTCTCAGATGGAGATGAGGAATTTGTTGGGAACTGGAGCAAAGGCGACTCTTGTTATGTTTTAGCAAAGAGACTGGCAGCATTTTGCTCCTGCCCTAGAGATTTGTGGAGCTTTAAACTTGAGAGAAATGATTTAAGGTATCCAGCAGAAGAAATTTCTAAGCAGCAAAGCATTCAAAAGGTGACTTGGATGCTGTTAAAAGCATTCCATTTTAAAAGGGAAACAGAGGATAAAAGTTCAAAAATTTTCTACTGATGATGCAGTAGAAAAGAAAAACCCATTTTCTGAGAAGAAATTCAAGCCAGCTGCAGAAATATGCATAAGTAGCAAAAAGCCTAATGTTAATCCCCAAGACCATGGGGAAAATATCTCCAGGGCAGGTCAGATACTTTCACAGCAGCCTCTCCCATCACAGGCCTGGAGGCCCAGGAGGAAAAAGTGGTTTTTGTGGGCCAGGCCCAGTGTCCCTGTGCTGTGTGCAGCCTAGGAACTTGTCTCTGTGTCCCAGCTGCTGCAGCCGTGGCTGAAAGGGGCCAACATACAGCTTGGGCTGTGTCTTCAGAGGATGGAAGCTGCAAGCCTTGTCAGCTTTCATGTGGTGTTGAGCCTATGGGTGCACAGAAGACAAGAATCGACGTTTGGGAATCGCCACCTAGATTTCAGAAGATGTATGGAAACACCTGGATGCCCAAGCAAAAGTTTGCTGCAGGAGCATGAAGAACTTCTGCTAGGGCAGTGTGGAAGGGAAATGTGGGGTCAGAGCCCCGACACAGAGTCCCTATTGGGACACTGTCTAGTGAAGCTATGAGAAGAGGGCCACCATCCTCCAGACCTCAGAATGGTAGATCCACTGGCATTTTGCACCATGTGCCTGGAAAAGCCACACACACTCAATGCCAGCCCATGAAAGCAGCCACGAGGGAGCCTGTACCCTGCAAAGCTACAGGGGTGGAGCTGCCCAAGACCATGGGAACCCACATTTTGCATCAGCATGACCTGGGTGTGAGACCTGGAGTCAAAGGAGATCATTTCAGTACTTTAAAATTTGAGTGCCCCGCTGGATTTTGGACTTGCATGGGCCCTGTAACCCCTTTGTTTTGGCCAATATCTCCCATTTGGAACAGCTGTATTTACATTGGATCTAGGAATTGTATCCCCATTGGATCTAGGAAGTAACTAGCTTGCTTTTGATTTTACGGGCTCATAGGTGGAAGGGATATGCCTTGTCTCAGATGAGGTTTTGGACTGTGGACTTTTGGGTTAACGCTGAAATGATTAAGACTTTGGGGGACTGTTGGGAAGGCATGATTGGTTTTGAAATGTGAGGACATGAGGGGCCAGGGTTGGAATGATATGGTTTGGCTGTGTCCTCATCCAAATCTCAACTTGAATTGTATCTCCCAGAATTCCCATATGTTGTGGGAGGGACCCAGGGGGAGGTAACTGAATCATGGGAGCTGGTATTTCCTATGCTATTCTCGTGATAGTAAGTCTCATGAGATCTGATGGGTTTATCAAGGGGTTCCGCTATTGCTTCTTCCTCATTTTCTCTTGCCGCCACCATGTAAAAAGTGCCTTTCACCTCCCACCGCAATTCTGAGGCCTCCCCAGCCATGTGAAACTGTAAATCCAATGAAACCTCTTTTTCTTTCCAGTGTCGGGTATGTCTTTATTAGCAGGGTATGTCTTTATTTAATTAGTCAGGTATGCCTTTATTACCATTTTATTAGAAAATGGACTAATATATCTTATTTATATGTCAGTTGTTGAGACTCATTTTTCTCTCTATAGCACATTATACTAGGTAATGATTCAAATAATTTGTTTTATTTTGTGTTGGAAAGGAGAGGTCAATAATATTTATTGTAGATTGACTAAATTAGGCTCATATAGAATTATTAAAAAATACGTGACCAAATTGTGAGAAATTTATCTCACATAATCCAGGTCATTCTATCTTTCATGTTGCTGATCCAATTCTTCCACATATTTTTGGTCACTGTGTGAATTAATAGTTAAAATTGTGCATTATTTTCTCTCTGTTAGCCCTTGTACTGTCTTTATACATTATCTCATTGAATGCTTAGAATAGCCCTATAAAAATGTTCCCTTTGTAGCTAATAAACTGAGACAGAATTAAGCTTCCTGTCCAATGTCACAGATTGGTAGGTTGTGGACTCAGGCTTGGAACTGAGGCAGTGTGACACACTGGCCCTCTCACTCTTCCTTATGCTGCCACATCAGCAGAAGAAAAGGCTATGTTCAAATGGTATAATTAAATAAGTGTGTTTCTGTTACATTATACAAATATTCACACACATAATCATATGTTTTAATGTATATATAAAACAAAATGCTAACATATTATTTAAAACACCATTAAAATGTTGTTTTATGGGCTTTTTTTCTCTATGCAGAGGTACTTCTAAACATACTTTCTACATTAGGCTCAATGGTCGTCTCTAAAATGACATAATAAAGGTGCTATAGAATATCATAGTATAAATAAATACAATTTATTTAGCTATTCTCTACATTTGAACATTTATGTTGCTTTTAATTTTTGACATCATAGAGATAAATTCATGTTGATGCATAATAATTATTTCTTACGGATTTATTTGTAATAGAGAATTTGGGGACCAAGGATTTTGAGCATAGTCTCTGAAAAGTCTCTTGAGTGAAGAAATCACTCTATGGAGGGCACTGTATAAGTCATGTTCTTGTACAATTCCCTTCTCTTAAATACAGTTTAAACTTATGACTTGTTCTAGTCAATAAAATAGGGCAAAGCTGATAGGTAATCACTCTCTTAATTAGGTTTCATTAAATGGCAAAGATGATGTTTTGTTTTTTCCTGGTGTAATTTACGTCCCAAATTAGTTGGTTTTGAGTTAATCAAAAGAAAGATTCTGCTGGGTGGGTCTGAATTAATCCAGTGAAAGCTCTTAAATGAGCCCATAAGGCTCATAGTGGCTCTGTTTTCCTGATGAAATGCAAACCGATGACACATTTAAATTATCTTTTTTAAATATTGAGACTCAAAGAAGTTGATTGAGTTGCCCAAAGTCTTGCCAACTTTTAAGTGGCAGAACTGAGATTTAACCTAGGATGATCTGAGTATAAAGCAGAGATTCTGAATTCAAATGGTCTCAGAGGACAGGCAGATAAGGTAAGGGAATGAAACAAACTTGCAGTAAGAAATATTTCTCAGAATCAATTGAGTCTTCAAGTACATAGCTGTATAAAACATGTATTAAGTTGCATCAAGAGTGAGCCAAGGATTTAAATGATCAATCTAAAACACTTGCCCTTGCATTCAGTCTTTCCTCAATTAAAAATAGGTAAACATAAGTTACATTTGAACAATGAAAAAGACCCTGAAAACTGTTTTTGCGCTAAAGAGGACTACTTAAAATTTAAAGCCAAACCTCTGTCCTTTATTGATTAACCATTCCAGTATGTAGAGATCTGAACATATATTTTGCTCTAGATGATTGTTAGTTACTATGTAGGAATTCTGGTCTAATGTGGTCTGATTTTCTGATATTTCTATAGATGCTACCAGATTGAATGTTAAGTAAAAGTTTCCAAATTAATTTTTTTTATTAAAGTAAAAAAAAGGTAGGGATAAGAGAACTTTCACAGTACTTTAGGTTATTTATGAGAGGGAAAGTGCTACTTTGTAATGTTCCTATTACCCTTAACACTGTTATACATTTTTTAGTATTGGCTTGTAGCTAAGCATTTTTAAGTCTGGTGAAATATGGTAACTTTGCATATTAACTGGACTTATAAATATTTTTGGAGAAAATGTTCTTATATATGAAAGCTGAAAGATATAACCTTGTTGAAAAACCCATTCGTATTGTGATTTTCTAGGTGTGAATTAGGTAACTTACATGACGAGAAATGAAACAATGGAACAAAAGTTCTCCGTGCTACCCTATTCCATTATCTACTGTCACTATCATTCTAATGTGTATTATAATAGTTTATTCTTGATGTTAGTCCCATGTGTGCATTATTCATGGATTCATTAAAGTATCTTTATTTTTCTTACAATCACATACTAAAAGTATATAGTACTTAATTAGTATCATAATTTCAACTCAAATAATTATCAATGCGTCATGAAAATCTGTAAGTTGGAGCTAGCTTCAATAAGATAATTAACATCTGCTAAAGCTGCAAACATCACTAAAGTTATAAATATATTTAAAAAGTTTGATTGAGATAAGTGCTTGTTTTAGGAATACCTTTCATAAAATGTTTACTTTAAAAGTAATATAATTAAAAAAACTAAAAGCAGTTCATTGATGTTTATCATCAGTTTCTTTTTATATTTACTCTATAAAAGTTAAAAATCTCTCCTTTTCTATATTTTGAGAATGGTTAATATGAAGCCTATGACATAGTTAGCATTATAATTGTCAATATCCCTTAAGAGGTATTTGAGCCAAATAGATATAGTTGGAAGTGGTTTGTAAATAATTATCAGAGCACATAGTATTTTGTTTTCTGCATATCATTCACATCATGTATTTCAAAAGATTGTAAAACCAAAATGCAGTATTGTTTGATTTTGAGGTTAGTTTTTTCCATTTTATTTTGAATATTATAAGGATAAGAATGACAATTCCAAGCTCTGACATGTAAAGAGCTTGGGAATTGTCATTTCTCTCCTTATAATATCAGCATAATTAGAAAAACCTGAAAACTTGAAAATCAATAGCTTTTCCTGGACCCATGGGACAACTGAAATTTTAGGGAAAATCCACCTCAAAATCTACAGAGAGAGGCAAATGCAGACAGTTCCAGAGTTCCTGCTGACTTGGAACAACCACTGAAAGTCTTTTTTAGTAAATATAATCGATCTGCTAAAAGAGTAGGTAAAATAGAAGCATAAAATGCATGATTAAAACTAGAAAAGGCAGGAAAAGAAGCCTCTGGCAATGACTAGACAAGTACTATGGTTTACATGAAAAGAAATATATCAATAACCACTTTAAGTGTGATTGGTAAATATGCCAATTAAAAGACAGAGATTGTCAGAGTAGATTAAAAAAATAAAACCTGACTATATGTTGTCTGTAAGAAACCCACATTAAACGTGAAGACTCTGATCAGTTACAGGTTAAGGGATGATGCCTTACATGCCAACAACAGTAAAAACAAAGCTGGGGTAACCATATTAGTTTCAGACAAAGCAGACCTCAGAACAGTAAAAATTATCAAAGATAAAGAGGGGTATTTCGTAATGATAAAGAAATAAATTCTCCAGGAAGACAGAACAATCTTAAACATTGATTCACCTACCAGTAAAACATCAAACTATGTGAGGCAAAAACTCTTAGAACTGAAAGGAGAAATAGACAAATCCATTCCCGTAGTTAAAAACTTCAATGCCTCTTGTCAGTAAGTGGTAAGTCAAACAGGCAGAAAAACATTAAGAATACAGTTGACCTGAACAACAAACATTATCAACAAACTTGCCATACAATTATGTCAATTTTTATTTTTTATTTTATTTTATTTATTTTTTTGAGACGGGGTCTCGCACTGCTGCCCAGTTGGAATGCAATGGCGCGATCTCGGCTCACTACAACCACCGCCTCCTGGGTTCAAGTGATTCTCTTGCCTCAGCCTCCTGAGTAGCTGGGATTACAGGCACCTGCCACCACTCCTGGCTAATCGTTTGCATTTTTAGTAGAGAAAAGGTTTCACTATGTTGGCCAGGCTTGTCTCAAACTCCTGACCTCATGATCTGAATTATGTCAATGTTTTATATAATATGCCATACAACAAGAATACAATACACATTCTTTTCAAGCTCATCATATTATGGAATATTCACCAGGATATAGACCACATTCTGGACCATAAAGCATAACCTGACACATTTTAAATAATAAAAATCATCCAAAGTATGTTCTCAGACCACAATGGAATTAAACTGGAAATCAAAAAGAGAAAGATAGCACACCTAGCATACAGAATTTGGTTTCTAATACAAAGCACATAATACATATGACAACAAGACTCCTTTGAGAAATAGCTGACTCTAAGACTGAGAAAGAGAGATCTGAGATAAGCTGGGAGCATGTTGCAGTAACAGAAAGGAAGGAAGTGCTAAAACAACAACTCGATAATGAGGGTGTGTCAAAAGAACACAGGGACACACTGAAAGAGCAACCAATGGCCAAAGCTGGAACAATCTGATCAATCAAATAAACAAAAATAGTATTGGATTATAACCCAAAGTGTAAAATATATATATCCATTTGTCTATGGTGACATAAATAAGTGATTGTAAACGTAACATAAATTAACAGGAGAGAATAGACAAATCCTCCATACAAATAATTCCAAATCATTTATATTGATACTTCACCTTAAGTATAACTGGTAGTTTCATTGTCCTAGATGCAGAATTGCACTTAATCTCTTAGATTTTAGTACATATTTCACTTTCCTACTTTACTTGCAATCTTTCAGTCTGAAGCCTGTTTAGATCCAGAATGTAAGTCTCTTTTTTTCAGCAGCTGACAGGCAGGGTAGCTGCCTAACAAAATAGGCTGGGAGTGAGAATTTGGTGGTCTAACTGCTCTTCATACAGACTTTGAAAAAAACGAAAAAGAAAATCTGCTTCTTTTCAGGTTCCAACATGAATGCTTGAATGCTGCCTTGGGTTCATTAGGCCTCCAATCCTGAGTTTCTAGAGTTCTGTGGTGACATATAGGCTTTCTTCTATTTATACCTTTCCTCCGACACTTTAGGTATGATTTTTCTTCTTTTTAGTAGTATTTCCTTCGATTTTTTATCTTCAGATACTGTGATTCAGGGTTAAGATATTTTCTGTTTTTGCCAAAGAGGGAGGTTCTCTTTCTGTGTTTTGTTCCTCTTGTTCTCTTAGAAGTAATTTCTGAGAGAAGAGTACGATATATCTTCATCATCTTGAAACTGGAAGTCCACAGTTGGCTTCTTAAGGGTCATTGTTATGTGATGACAAATCTCATTTGAAAATGCTATAAAAACAGGCTCACTAGCCTTATAACATTCTACTATACCATTCATCAATAATGAAAATAGCCTTTTGAGCAAAAGTGTGCATTTTATGACATTTTCAAAACATTTACATATCCTGAAGGGAAATACAAAATATTTTACACCTCTCAAGCTGTGCTGACTAGAGGTCACCACCATGTTACGTTTTATCCTCCTAAGTGTCCATGTAGAGCTTAGTTCTCCTCTAAAATTAATAAATCTCCATATAAGTAAAAGGAAAATATAGACCTAGAGTTGGTGATAATATAAACAATTTAAAGATAAGTCAACAGTTGATCAAAATTTACCCCAGTATGTGAAGGAGAATGAATCAAAGAAATATTCATCCAAAGGCTACAGAATCTATGCTTTCTTATTTAATTTGAAACAATCAATTTAATCAGACAAATGATATTCAAATACACCGGAATAAGTCGAGACATTAACATTAATAACTTTCATGTAATGTTATTACATGTCAGTTGTAATTCTTATGAAAATAAAGATTCCTTCCTTCTTTCCTTTCTTCCCTCTCTCTTTCCTATCTATATTCATTCATCATATATTTATTGCCTACTATTTGCGTGGCACTTTTCTATTGCTGGGAATCCTGAAGGGAAGAAAAAAGATGGAAATATTTTCCTTCATAGTGCCTACATCAAAGTGGAGAATAATAATTGGTAACCCTTCCATAGTATTTACCTATGTAAACTTACTGTTTTCTTTTTAAATGAATATTTAAAAGCTTGTAAGGAACAACAACAACAACAACAAAACCCATATAAAAATGGGCAAAGGATATGATCAGACAGTTCTCAAAAGAAGACATACAAGTGGCCATACAAACATGAAAAAATGCTTAGCATTATTAATCATCAGAAAAGTACAAATCAAAACCACAATAGGACACAATCTCACACCAGTCAGAATGGTTATGATTAAAAAGTCAAAGAACAACAGATGCTCGTGAGGCTGTGGAGAAAAGAAAACACTTATACACTGGTAGGAATGTAAATTAATCCAGCCACTGTGGAAAGCAGTTTGGAGATTTCTCAAAGAACTTAAAACAGAGTGCCATTTGACCCAGCAGTCCCATTACTGGGGATATACCCAGAAGTAAACAAATTATTCTGTCAAAAAGACACATGTACTTTTATGTTTATCAGTGTGTTATTCACAATAGCAAAGACATGGAATCAACCCAAGTGCCCATCAATGGTAGAATAAAGAAGTTGTGGTACATATTCACCATAGAATACTATGCAGCCATAAAAAAAGAACAAAATCTGGTTCTTTGCAGCAACATGGATGCATCTGGAGGCCATTTTCCTAAGTGAATTAATGCAAAAGCAGAAAACCATATGTCACACGTTCTCACTTATAAGTGGGAGCTAAACCTCTCAAAATAATGGAACAATAACTGCCATAAGTCAATTTAAAATGTGCCCTTTCTTAAAAAACAAAACCAAACAAAAACAGATTACCCTAAGTTTCCAGAAACAGGCCTCTTACCTGGGGTAAGGCACTTCAATATGCTATCTAGTAAATTTTCTCTTTTACTAAATAAGCCTAAACTCTTTGCCCTGCCTTTGTGTCTAGAAGAGAAGGAAAGAAAAGAAAAACGATGAACCCTCTAATAGCTTGTACTTCCACCTGCTGTGTTTTCCCAGGAACTGTGATGGATGGCCCTTTGGGAGGAACTCTTTGTACAAGGACAAGAGTCCTGCCTTCCCCTGTTAAACTGTCAAAACCTGTTCACCTTTTGTGTCCATACTTTCTGGCTGCTGCTCAATTTTCAAGATATAGCCACCATAGGACCCTGTCATCTCCCATCCCTTCCAACATATGGTCATCTGTCCAGAGTTATATCAGCCTTGCCTACTCTTTCCTGGCCTTTCACCCACTACTCGTCAAGTTTCCCAGATGCTTCTCCTGAAATTCAGGGCAAAGCAGTAAACAATGCCAATCTTTTCTTAAACAGTTGTGTATCTTTCACAAACACTTAAGAAACAAACAACTTCATTTTTCTTTTAGATATTTCATTGTTGGGCTGGACGTGGTGGCTCACATCTGTAATCCTAGCACTTTGGGAGGCTCAGATAGGAGGCTCGCTTGAGGCCAGGAGTCAAAACAAGCCCAGGCAACATAGTGAGACTCTGTCTCTACAAAAACTAAAAACAAAATTAGCTGGGTGTGGTGGCAAGCATCTGTAGTTTCAGCTACTAGGAAGGCTAAGGTGGGAGGATCACTCGAGCCTGGGAGGTCGAGGCTGCCGTGAGCTATTATTGTGCCACTGCACTACTTCAGCCTGCGTGATAGAATGAGACCCTGTCTCAAAAAAAAAAAAAAAATTATTTGTCCTAAAGTGAGTAACATTTTTGATGGGGAAGAGAATTAGTGGTACCTGGAGAAGTCTGTTGATGCCAATTATAAACAGAATCACAGAAGATGTGTAAAATCTTTATACCTCGTTGAGGGTTATTTTGTTTCTTTGTGTTTTGACACAGGTCCATAATTAGGCTATAACTCGTCAGCCCAAATTTCAATGTGACCTTTATTTTTTAGCAACTGCATCTTACTGTACACCAAAAGACTAGTTTCTATTTCTGGAAAAATGAAAACTAAAGAGAGGCAGAGTGATCTTAAAGTTAATTTGGTTACTGAAGATTATTATTTTTTAATACACAAAGAAGAATGCTTTAATCTAGGAACAAAATGATATCATTAATGGAATAGCTGAATATTTCAATGATATTTCTAATTTTATTATGGCTTCTTGGTAGATAATCCCTGCCCTGCTGCATTCAATTGGGCAGAATTATTGTGTCTCATAAGGCTGTCAAGTTAATCTGAATCATCGATGTTTGACAGGCAAATAAAAATGAAAATTATTGTTCCCAAAATTGGGGATTATAGATCTCCTACGGAAACATACATGTGCAGTTTAATAGTGATAATCCTTCAATTTAGATGAGCAGCGTTATCTGCCTTGATAATTTTTAATATCAAGGTCAGGATTTTATCTTCCAGATCAAAAATACTTTTAAAAATTATTACTTGGGCGACCATATACACACCGTAAAAATAAAAGTAATCATCTACAGGTCTGTTTTTTCCCTTAGAGATATGAAAGTAGAATTATAAATTATGCATTTGTAGGTTAAAAATAATCTCTTGAAGCTTATTTTCAATCAAATTTTCTAACAAATTCAAACCACTGTGTCTCTCTTAAGGGAATCCATCACTATGGTTATTTCTCCACTCAACCTGTCCTTTTAGATCTCTAAAAAATGGAAGAACAACTTACAACTTTAAGAATGTTTACTGAAGCTGTTTCAGGAAGCCTTGACCTTTAGCTGCAGTTCTCATATGCAGGTCTTGTGACTATTTCATTTTATAACACAACATGAAAAATATAAAGAAAAGTAATGAGCAAATATAATCAAGTATGCTACACCATTATTTTAATCAGATGCTGCTAATGGCTTTCATTTTTGTATTTTGATGATCAGATTAAATAGCTTTATACAAAGTGTAATTTGAATGATCTTGTACAGGTTCTTATTTCAGTGGGGACTGAAATTCCTGAGCATCTTTTTATTGAACATTTAAAATAATCTCTTTTTAGATGCCAAACTCTGAAATTAAAGGATAAAAAAGACCAGGTTCTTAAAGCATTGCTTTAATTAATATTTTTATGATTTGAAAGTATAAATATCAGTGGCAATGAATTGCTTTTCATGTCAATCCAGCTCAGGATAACGTTTATATTTTGTAGAAATATGTAAATAGTAGAGGGTTCAGTGATAAAATATTCACTATAGACAATAGAACAGAGAATAAAGGACATTCAGATATTGCTTTCTGTTTTTCCTATGTTTTAATCATAAAATATATACTAAAATGCAAAATTGTGTGTATATATTACATATTGTTACAAAATATAAAATGATTGTCATATATAATTTTCAAAACCATGTTTCCAAATAATAGATAACTTTCATACCTATATCCTTTTATCGTTTTGAAGACTGCTTTTAAGGATTTTGTCTCATCTGAATCATACATCCATGTTTTCTGAAATAAGCAGGTATAGTACACCTATTTTGTACATGAGAAATCTGACTCAGAAAGTTTTATATATATATATATATATATATATATATATATATATATATATATATATAATATCACCTAACTAGTGAACGATGGAGCCAGGACTTGAAATAGGTTTCCTGACTCTTAGAAAAATCATAAAAATATTAATTAACGCAATGCTTTAAGAACCTGGTCTTATTTATCCTTTAATTTCAGAGTTTGGTATCTAAAAAGAGATTATTTTAAATGTTCAGTAAAAAGATGCTCAGGAATTTCAGTCCCCACTGAAATAAGAACCTATACAAGATCATTCAACATCCTTTAATATTTCCACAGAAACCTCAAACTGGTAAACTTGGTTATATAAGGGTAACATTTGCAGTGCTATAGATCTTGATCTAAATAAACTATCTTAAGAAATTCAATTCAATTTTATTGACAAATTGCCTGCTCTGTACCTGGAAGTTTGCTGTTCCTGGATAAAACATCTGCACATGAAACCTTAACTCTGATCTCAAGAAGCACACAATTGGCAAGATAGGTAAATGCATGACGCAGTATGATGTAGTGAAACAGCTGACAATTAAGGAATATACAGGAAACTCAGAGGAGAGAAAAGCATTTGCCTCTTCTTGAATTGAGTAGGAAAAATGTGGTCCCTCAAATTTCAATTCAGACATTATGTACTAAGAGGAGACAGGACATTGTCAGCTTTGTTCAGCCCTCCATCTTTATCACCTACATAGTGCAAGGAACTCAGTATTATTCATTGGCTATGTTAATGTACTTGCACAAATATTGTAATTAATGTACTATTATTTATCAGTAGTATATAGTACAAACTTATGTTTATTGAGTGCAAGTCAACATGCTAGTTGCTTCATATTATTATCTTTAAATATTACATTATCTTTATTCCATATATTTACATTATCCTTAATTGCCAGAATGTTGCCAAAGGATTACTATGATCTTTATTTTATGGGTGCAATTATCGAGACTTAGAGAGGTTGAAAGACTTGGCTAATTTCACATAGCTAATCAGCGAAAGAACTGAGAATCAAAACCAGATTTACTTGGCTCTAAAATCTGTGCTCTTCTCTTGACTACAATCTACCTCCTATTTCAGATCTCTTGAAGGTCCCATCTGACTCTGCTTATTTATTAAAGCACCAAAAAGGTCTTACTTATAAAATCTATTACCCTTATGTCAGAGGAATCCTCCTGTGTATATATTAATGTGTCCTCCCCGCCTTCCTATCCTAAATATTTTGGGACTACTTTAAATGACTGAAAGGCCTCAGGCTTTTTTGGGGGGATGGAGAGTGGATTTAGAGACGGCTGCTCTGCTTATTCATCATGATTTTAGCTCTGGATTTTCTAACAGAAATAAAGATGCAAGTGTTGCCAGAATTTGTGCACTTGAAGAATTTACTAGTTTTCACAGTAATTGTATTTTCATAATGTTTTAACAGATTAGGAAATTATCTCCATTGGGCCTGGTGAATTACCCTTACTAGCTTGTGGCTTCTCATTGGCTCATATTAGAAATGTGCTTATGCTTATAATGAATCTTACCAGGACTAGATTAAATTCTAATAATTTCTCCAGGGATAAGTTAGAGTGGGAACTGGCTACCCGTCTTAGACAACTGAGGAATGAGATCTTAATAACTGTGGTTTGGTCATTATGATTTTTATTTTCTATCATATTACTTATTGTTTTGCCTTTTGTTTTTTACTTTATTACTTTGGGGCTTTATCTTGTAAAAAACTGTCTTTCTTTTTTCTTTTTTTTTTGAGACGGAGTTTTGCTCTTGTTGCCCAGGCTGGAGTGCAATGGCGCGATCTCGGCTCACTGCAACCTCTGCCTCCCAGGTTCAAGCGATTCTCCTGCCTTAGCCTCCTGAGTAGCTGGGATTACAGGCACCCGCCACCAGGCCTGGCTAATTTTTGTATTTTTAGTAGAGACAGGGTTTCACCATGTTGGCCAGGCTGGTCTCGAACTCCTGACCTCATGATCCACCTGCCTCGGCCTCCCAAAGTGCTGGAATTACAGGCGTGAGCTACCGCGCCCGGCCATAAAAACTGCCTTTCTACTGTCTTTGAAATTTTTATTTGAAATTTTCTCTAACTTAATTTGAATGTTTGTACATTTATTTTAAATATTCTGTTTTTGTAGATGAATTTATTAACTATAAATACATTTTTCCAAGTACTGTGTTTATTGGATCACACAGGTATTAATATGTGGTTCTGGTCATAATTTGGTTCTAAGAAGTATAATTCAAAATTTCAGTTTATTTTTAACTCAGTAATTATTTTGAAGCATATTTTGTTATTTTATAATTATATTTCATTATGGAGAAATAATGTGTGGATAGCGTCTACATTTTGGAAACCACAAATATTTTTTCTTCTGAGCTAAAACATGCTTCCTTTACAAATATTTATGGAGAACTTGAAAAATCATAACATTTTTTTCTGTATCTTCAGTTGTCTATATTATTCTATTAAATGAAGCCGTTTATTTTGTGTATTTTCTTGTATGAATTTTTAGTTGCTAAGAAAGGCTTGCCAATTGTCCTACTATGACAGTGTTTTTCAAATACATCATTTACATTGCACATATAATGCTACAGTGTGTGTTAAAGTTCATTGTAGTATAATTGTCCTGAAGATTTATAATTTTTAACAATGTAAAATATTTATCTTTATTAAATTTGACCTTTAATTCTATTTTATATTGCATAACATTGCCAATTTTATTTTTTGTCATTGCCTACCATATTTTGCATATTCTTTATTTTCAAAATTTGAGTTGTTTTTTGACACATAGCATATAATTGGATTTTGGTAATGAAATATTTGTCATTTAATAGGGTATTTATCTATACTTCTTAAAATTTTGAACATCGCATTCATTTCTGTTATTTTATCTTAATTTGCCATTCACTCATACAGACTCTTTTAGAACTTGTGTTAAAATGATCTACTCAAGCTCTTGGCTGTTTAAATCTGCTTGGAATGTTCTGTTTTCTTAGCTTCTCTCATAGAACATGTATATAGTATTTCTCTACCTTTTTCCTCACTCTCTTCTAGTTGTCTTTAAGAGTTCTTTCCCCTTACCTCTCAAATACTGAAACACCTTAGCATTTTGTCCTATGTCCATATCTTCTTATTCTGTAATCTAACACTAGACACTTTCATCTAGCTCTTGGTTTCAAGATCTGTGTATATTCTAGCATTACATTCTGGGACTGTATATTCAAATTATCATTAAATATGACAGTTGAATACCCCATAAACACCTCAAATTTGATATATCAAAAAGATGGGCTATTTACATTTGCCTTCCTCAACCCCAATGTTTTTCTCCATTGCTCTTCATCTAGAGCATGATCACGTTCAATTGCCCAAGCCAGAAAATTAAGTGCTATTCTTGAATTCTCACCTTGGTTCATGTTAATGGTACTGCTTACATACATCCTGAATTCATCTGCTTATTTACATTCTTACCTCTACTATCTTAGTTCAAATAATCTTAAATTCCAGCTCATCTTAAATTCCAGCCTCAATCACTAAAATATATTCAAATGCATCTCTTCCCTTATTCTCTGTTGGTTCATCTTCTGTATTATATCTGCAATCACCTTTCTAAAATATATAAATGTCACATAAGTTTTAATAAGTAATATTTTATATATATATATATATATGTGGTTGTATTTGTCCATTTTCACACTGCTAGAAAGATACTACTCAAGACTCAAGACTGGGTAATTTATAAAGCAAAGGGGTTTAATTGGCTCACAGTTCCACGTGGCTGGGGAGACCTCAGTAAACTTACAATCATGGCGGAAGGTGAAGGGGAAGCAAGGCATGCCTTACGTGGTGGCAGGTGAAAGAGAGTGAGGAAAAAAGTGTTACACTTTTAAACCATCAGATGTTGTGAGAACTCACTATCATGAGAACACCATGTGGGAAACTGCCTCCATGATTCAATCACCTCTCACCAGGTTCCTCCCTTGACATGTGGGGATGAAAATTCAGATGAGATTTGGGTGGGGACACAGTGCCAAATCATATCAATGGTCGTATCATTCCTTAGCTTAAAATCATTTGATGGTTCCCCATTACCTGCAAGATAAGAGCCAAACTTTTAGAACACAGCTTAAATATCCCTTCCTGTCTTGGACCATGCCTACTTCTCTAATTTCATCTTCTACCCCTTCCCTTCCCAACTGTATGCTTCAGTAATCCTTTTACTTTTATTTAAAAGGATCACTTCAGTTAGGATGTTGCTGTCCCTACTCAGCCTCTCCTGACCAGACAAGTCTGGGTTAGGTTTTAGGTTCCTCTATAGAACACTGGTTATGTGTCCTTCTTCGTGGCACTTGTCACATTAAGTTGTAATTAACTAATCACTTGAATGAATCCCCACCTGACTATATGCCTTTTATGAAGACCTGCCCGTTGTCTGCCATGCTTTCCCTTGTATTCCTAGCACCTTGCATTGTGAGGGCACAACACACAACATGGTGAATGAATGAATTCATTTATTTCTACATATTTGTATAAAGACACAAGAGGAGGTGAAAACTTAATGGAAAGATAAATAGCATTTATTTAACACACACCAGTGTGCTAAATGTTTTAAAATGCATTACTTTTCCAATCTTTGAAAATTCAAAACAAATAGATCAAACTAGTGTTAAGAAAGGTTAAGCAAACTTACTTAAGATAGCATAGATAGCAACTAACAGAGCTAAGATACAAACTCTAAGTTATTCTTTCTTCTGCTCTACAATATTTATTCATTCATGCCAAAAGCTTAGAAAATAATTAAAGGGAAGAAATAGGAGGCATCATTAATTTCCTTGGCAGAAATCCATTTAAGAGTCTTGGAACATCTTATAATAGTGAGTCTGTGATGGTTGTTTTGGTATCTCGACAGTACTAAAAGCTCCCCTATTTCTATTATTCCAGATCCCATGTCAACAACATAAGATTTGTTTTTTTATTCTATCAGCTATAGTCTTATTATTCAGTATGTTCAACTCAGTTCAGAGATATTTATGAATTTATCACTGAAGGCCATCTGTCCTAAGGGTATGTGAACAAACACAATGACACCTAGAGAGAATAAGAGAAAATGATTGAAAGTATTGATCATCATTCTGATAAAATTTCTCAGAATTCTGTGGTACCAAGAAGGAGAGGGGCCCAGCTATCCACTGCTAGTTGCAAATATTCTTTGACTAAAATAAGAGTTTGTTTTCGTGACATATTTACTATATCAGGCACGGTTCTGTGTGCTTTACACCTATTAACTCAATTTTACTGACTAGCTAGAAATAATTTATTGCCATTCTTTAGTTTTATTTAGGAATTCGAGACATAGAAAGGTTAAATAAATTACCTATGCTCACATAAATTTTAACGGATTTGAAAACAAGCAGTGTAACTCCAACGTCTGTGATTATAACCATTATGCAGGGCTTTGGAGAAGTGTTTAAAAGTATCTTTTTCTATGCTACTTTGAATATAAATTTTATTTGTTAGCTCATGTTCTTATTGTTTGTAGTTAAACTCCTTGTTCTCACCTCTGCTAGGGATCGTTTTATTTACTTGCTTATCACTAGAAAAGTGATATATTGTATCCTGTATTTCAGTTCTATCGGATAATAGCAAGAGCAAATTTGTTTATAGGTGAAGAAAGTTGAATTTCTAAGCCTTTCTGCTTTATTTTGTGACTTACATGTTTTTATGTTTATATTTCCATAACCAAGATGGCCGTAATGATCCTCTCAGTTTGACTAAACTTTACAAAAGCTTTTTCCTGTGTCTGGTACCCTGACCTACCTTTTCCTAGAGCATTTATTTTAGAAACCTTGTCATTGTAAAGGCCTTTTCTGCTCATTTGAGATGTGTATTTTTTAAAAAGTCGTTTGCCAGTTCCACATCCCAGAAATGTATCAAGCATCTAGGAAACATAACTGCAATGTCATCTAAGATAACACCCTTATCACCCAGTCTCTGTGGGAGGGAAGGAGACCAACTGGTAGTCTTCTTGCTCCAAATTGTAAAACCTACCTCCTGTCATAAATTTTAAGATTTATTTTTTCTCTAAAGCCAATTAGCAAGCAAACACAGGCAGCCTGTGAGCTCCCTCTCAGCCCAGCCTTTAAAAATCCTCCTGCCCTTTGTTGCAATGGAATTGAGTTCAAACTTAGTTCTGGCCTCTCTGACCTATTGCAGTAGCCTCAAAAATGTTCTTCCTTGCCTGTTTAATTTTCTCAAGTGCAATTTTGCTTTGACACCTTGTCTGTAGAAAACACATATTAATATCATGGTGAATATGTTGACAACATAGATTGGTCTTTTCCAGGTCTTAATTCTTTACAAATGTTCAAAATTTTAAGACTTCGGTGAAGAAGATCTAGGTTGTAATGTTGTCATTTTTTGAAAGAAGAAATTGAATCTCAAAACACTCTGGTGAGCTCTTGTTTAAGATCAAATGAGAAAGCATGTTCTGGAGAAGAAAGTACATTTCCTCCATTTTGAGTTGTGAGTTCAAGGCATTACATCTTTTTAAGAGGATTAAAAAGGCAAAGATTGGAAATTATACATATATGTAAGCACATTATTGAGAGGTGGGGGCTGGGTAAATTTTAACTATAAGGAGAGTATAAACCAACAGACGCTAAGAAATAAACATTCAATAAACATACGTGTGCATGTGTCTTTATAGCAGCATGATTTATAGTCATTTGGGTATATACCCAGTAATGGGATGGCTGGGTCAAATGGTATTTCTAGTTCTAGATCCCTGAGGAATCGCCACACTGACTTCCACAATGCAGCCATAAAAAATGATGAGTTCATGTCCTTTGTAGGGACATGGATGAAATTGGAAACCGTCATTCTCAGTAAACTATCGCAAGAACAAAAAACCAAACACCGCATATTCTCACTCATAGGTGGGAACTGAACAATGAGATCACAAGGACACAGGAAGGGGAATATCACACTCTGGGGACGGTGGTGGGGTCGGGGGAGGGGGGAGGGATAGCAGTGGGAGATATACCTAATGATAGATGACACGTTGGTGGGTGCAGCGCACCAGCATGGCACATGTATACATATGTAACTAACCTGCACAATGTGCACATGTACCCTAAAACTTAAAGTATAATAAAAAAAAAAAAATTAAAAAAAAAATAAAAAAAATAAAAAAAAAAAAAAAGAAATAAACATTCAAAAGGGAAAACCTAGATTCAAAAGATAAAAAGCACTTATTTAGTCATATACTTCCTTAGGCAATAACATGATCTACTCACTAGTTTAGTAGGAAGAATCACTGTGAAGATGAGACAGACTATCTGGGGAAATTACGGTTGCTTATAATTGTTTACAGTTATTTAAACATTTTTAATGTAACCAAAAGAGGGAGTGGTATGCTATTCTGACTACTACTTTTGTTTTATTGAAAAATTCTCCAGTGGTTCCCATTGAAGATTGACTGAAAATAAATTTCCCCTTACTTTGGAAGTTTTTAATTATACTCAGTTATTTATCTGTCTTTTTCTTAGGGATCTGTACATTTTTTTTTCAAAAACAAAAAGAGCAGTACATACAAGTAGGAAACATTTAATTTTTTCTGTTAAAAAACCCACAATATTTGCATATTTTTCAAATTGCTTTGTGTGCTTTCCAAAGCAGTGTTAAGCAAATCAGCACATTTATCTAAGGAGAAAATGATATCCTAAAATACTTTGAGAAACCTAACTTGTGAAATAGCTTCTAGCGTTCATGTGTTTCTACATGAAAACAAAACAAAACAAAACAAAAATACACAGAACATAAAGAGACTATCAATTAACTAATCAAGTTAATGACTTCTTTTAGGACACTTGAGCGGATTTCAAATGTGCATTTAAGTATTAAAATTAAACATTGAATATTCTGTGAAGAAAACTTCTATCATTTGAACAGAATGTGAGCTAAATTTGGGAGAAAAAATAACAGGGAATTCAGCCCACCAGATTTGATAAAATATTTTTCATGCATCTGATCTCTGGGGACAAATATTAAACTTTGGTTGTTTTCCCATAAGTCTCATCAACCCCAAACATAGAAAGTGTTTGGCTTAAGAAAAAAAAAAAAAACCCAAAAACAGGAATGTTCTTTTTCAACTTATATTTGTTAAAACTATGTGAAATCTATGTTACAGTGCAATATAAATACTATAAGGTGGCTACTTTTAATCAATCATTTTGGTTTCTGTTTCTGGAATTGCTAACTCTGAATAGAGAACATAATAAGGGTGAGTTATCTCTTCTATTAGTTTTGGTACTGTATCATGCAATTTTAAAGCATTCATTCAAAGTAGGCATTTTATATGAAAAAAAAACTTTATTTTTGAGATAAGTTCTTTCGATCCTCCAGGCATTTTGGATGTGGATACTTACTAGAGCTTCCGCCAGAAAGTTGTACTCAGGAGTGATTCTCTGCCAGAGCCATCCCCTGCCTGGAAGGTTAGATCAAAAGCATCAACATCAACAGATTTCTCTTCATGCTCACTCTGTCTGACAGTTTAGATTAGAAATATCTGCCAGCTGTTCCTTTTCCTACCTTTCTTAGTTTTAGTAAGGTGACAAATATAAGACTTATTAACATTTTTTCTATAGCTTAAATGTCAGAGTCAGCTTTCCAAATATGAAAAAAATCCTAGAATTTAAAAAGTATCAGGAATTTCAGCACATTACACTTAATATTTTAAATTATGGGATCTCCCACAAAATTAAACAGAATTATAAACCACTTATCTTTTTGGAAGAGTAGAGAAGAGATAAAACACATTACTGTGTTTCTTACTAAAATGCAGAAGAATATAAATATCTCCAGGAAATGAAAATAAACTAAAAGAAAAACACAACTTATGACTAGTTCGTAGATAAAATATAACTTGACAGAGGAGGAGGCTGAGAGGAAATAGGAAGAAACCCCATTTATTGACTGCTTTGATTTTTGTTCTGTATAACCTTTGTCATTTCCTTTAATTTCTATGGTCTTTTTTCCCCTTAATTTCTGTGGTCTTTTATTTTTAAAATAAAAATAATACTTGCCTTTTCCATCTGAAACAATTCAAAGTTAGAATGAAAAACTGTTTATACTATAAAGCATTATGTAATGTAAAAGATTACTACTTTTTGAACCCACTGATTCTGTAATTTCTAAAATAATTATTAAGATATTCAAAATATTTTCACTTTTTCACATATTCAGTATGGATTTTGGAGCTTAGTTGGCTTCAATAAGATCTTGATGAGGGGCCAGGAGTGGTGGCTTACGCCTGTAATCCCAGCATTTTAAGAGGCCGAGGTGGGCGGATCACTTGTGGTCAGGAGCTCAAGACCAGCTTGGCCAACATGGCAAAAACCCATCTCTACTAAAAATACAAGAAAAAAAAATAGCCAGGCATGGTGGTGTGTGTCTGTAGTTCCAGCTACTCAGGAGGCTGAGGCACGAGAATCACTTGAACATGGGAGGTGGAGGTTGCAGTGAGCCAGGATCAGGCCACTGCACTCCAGCCTAGGCGTCAGAGGGAGACTCTGTGAAAATAATAATAATAATAGTAATAATAATAATAATCTTGGTTGGGAACTATTGGAAGTTCTAGGTGGCTCCTGCTCATAATAGGTCTCTGGTTACACTCACCACTTAACTCACCACCCTTCCTGAATCTTTTTCTTCCTAGTGAAGTTCATTGTAAGCAGTGGCAATATGCCAGACATTAAGGAACATTCTGTGTTTCCAAGCAAATATGTAGTGGAGAGATCTGAATTAGGGTCCAGTTAGGCATCAGTAGCAAGGGATGGAGAACGGGGTGGGAGAGGTAGGGAAGGAGACAGTGAAATCTTTATGCTGACCTTACAATGAGTTTTGCGTTTTCTCCACAGTGGAAAGCTGACCTTTGCAATTGACTCTAGCATAGATGCTGCATTTGAGAAAAACTGTGTGTTTGGATAACTGCATGTGCTTTCTAGCTGTTAACTATTCTAGAATGTGCCTGAATGAAATCTGGAAGATTGTGATTAAGTTTTCATTCACAAGGTATGCCCAGGCTGAATCCCTCGTTTCTCTAAACCTTAAGTTGGAAGGTCTCTTTGTGGGAGTGCTCTTTTGGTTGTGGGTAGGAATGGTAGCTTGAAGTCTCTCTGGCAGGTTGAAACAAACATTAAATACAATCAGGAAAATACAAGGAGGTCTAGGCACTGTGTCAGGAATGTAGGCAAGTCTAAGGAGTCAGGCAAGTTGCTAATTTGCCACCAGTAACCACTACTGCCTGGGGGGTTCTGCCCCTTTACCTCTGTCCCCATCTCAACTAGACAGTACATATCTTAAAAATAGAAAGGCAAAGCCACTAGGTGCTTAGAAGAGGGCAGTGAGGCAAGGGGAAGTTCTATAAGAGGAGTGGTTGAATCCTTCAGCTGTTGGATCATTCCATCTCCCACTCTATTATTTCTAGCCTGAATCACATAGACATGGTGTGTTGCGGTTAGAGCGGCCAGGTGGAGATGGCCCCATTTCCTCTAAGGGGACTTGATTATTCACTTTCCAGAAGCACAACAGCAACTCTTTTCTCAGGAAGGGAAGCCATTGCAAATCTGGAGAACAATACTGCCTTAGTCTTCAGGGAACTTCTCTATAGAAGGCCCCTCATTTAGATGATATTCTAAAGGCCTGGGACAATAATCCGGAAAGACAATTTCAATCATCTTAATGATCCCTAAATTATTTCAATTACCTAACCAACCCTTCAAATAAGACAGTGCTTCAAGAAGGCACAATCACATTAATCAGACATCCTAGAATGACAGCACTAGAAGAGACTTTAGTCAAAATTGATCTAAAGCAAATAATTCCTTAAAATAGCAGTGTTGGTAAAACATTATCTATGCTTAAACCCTACACCAGCAGGCGGTGCACATACTCACAGGCATTTTGATGTAGGAGAAAGCACTCGGCTTTGGAGGCAAAAGAGACTTTGGGTCCCGGCTCTGTGCTTTACTATGTGAATGTAGGCTATTTTATCTTTAACTTCCTGATATATTTACAGTGAAAGAGAAAATGGTATCTTTTTCATTTTGCTCATCTGAGCATGAGGTGAGACAATATGAATAAAGCATCAAAGAACATGCTTAACAATTGGTATTTTTCTTCCCAGCCTTTTCATGGTTACAATATGCCTTCTGCCTTTAAGTACTGCCACAAACCACGTGACCTCAAGAAAAGTACTTAACCTCTCTGGGCCTCAACTTCTTCGAATGTAAAATGAAATCCTCAGACTGATTGATTCGAAGGTCCCTCCAAGGACATTTTTTTACTAAAATATGAAACATCATGGTGGATTTCTGAAGGCATTACCTTCACTTTCATTCCCTTATAGCCAGCTGTTATCATAGGCTTGGCTGGGCTAGACATAATTACTTTTTCCCTATGGAGTCAAGAAACAAACTAAATGGCAGTGTCCTTGAATAATTTATTTGACTCCTATAATTAGTACATTATCATTGTTGCTATGGAAGAAGTAATTTACATTTTGAAAGGGTATTTTACTTCTTTTATCTCTGAATGTATTTTAATCCTTTTACTACTTGGAAGACGTGACTCCATTATTTAATGTCAATACTCCGCATATCCCGTTATTTGGGTGGGGTCAGTTATCATCTGCAATGTCTGATGAGGTTAATGCACTGGGACTCTGAGCGCCTACATTCAGTTAATGAATTTGAAGCAGAGTCTCCGGAGTGTGCACACTATGAGTACCTTATCAGTCCCTAAGTTTTTGTTTGCTTTTTGGTAGTGTGATCTGTAGAATAACAGTTTATGTATATACAATGTTTAATCCTGAAAACTAGGTGTTGGATTTGGGAATGTGTAGTTCTGTGGAAGGAATATATATTCTGTGATCAGACATAGATTCAAATCTAGACTTCATCATTTATTTGCACATGACCCTGGCTAGGCACTTTATGAATCTGAATTTCATTTTTTTGAAATGAAATTCAAAATAAAGACACCTATAAAATAAAGACACTATTGACCTTCAAGATGATTGTGATATTACATGAGAAATTATTTGTCAAAATACCTTTTAAATACATCTCTATACCAGTGCAATGCCTTATTTTGATCAGTGAGATTACTATCTATCAGTTCCAGGAGACATTAGCTTGGAGAGAATTATAGGCAAGAGAAGGTGAATAAGATTTGTATCTTACAGGAGAACTGCTGAAGAAGAACAGCAGTAACTGAAAGTTTGTTAGAATAAGTGCCCTGGAGTTCGTGTTGTCATCACACTAAAAAAAGGCACAATACAGGATGAAAGGCAGTGAAAGCCCTGGAAGCAGCCATGAGAGATTCCTTTTCAGTCTTCTGACAACCTGATGATAGTAAATATTGGCAGTCAATGCAGTTGTTTTGGTTCTTCTCACCCCAGAAACATAGTAGGATTGTACGTCTCTGCTCCTTTGAAATTAGATGAGGTCTTGTGACTTGCTTTAGCCAATGAGGTGTACACAATTATGACATGCATTCATGACCAGATGGCAGCTACTCCCTTGACCAAATGCTCACCACCCATGAGGACAATATAGATGAGAGGCCACAGCCGACCAGTGAAAGCCATGAAAAATAAGCACGGTGTAAATGTGTGTTGCCTTAAAACATTTTATGTTTTTTTGTTTTGTTTTGTTTTGTTAGTTCAACGTAAATTAGACTCTCCTGATAGAATAAGTTAAGGTAAGTAACTCATTCAGAGGTTTATGAGAATCTCTGCTTTTTCAATGGAGAAGCCAGAAGCAAGAATTGGAGTGGATCTTAATATGGGGGAGTTTCTGGGGAGTGTGAGTGTGAGAGAGAATCATGCTCTTCAGAGAAAGGGCTAGTCAAAGGACCTGTGCTGTGCTGTTCAAGCAGTTAGAAATCAGAGACCCAGATTCTGCCCAGTGCCTGCTCCTATTTTTATTATCCTATTTCTATCTCATTACAATTTATACAGGGCGGGCCATTATGTATGTTAATACGCTTAAGAAGAACTTTGTAATTCTCTTAAGACCTAATTTGCTATACAGCTACGATTATATTAAGAAAGACAGCAGCCATCATTAGGTGTTTTCACATTGGTTAGACAAAGAAGACCATAGTAGCAAAGTAGCAATGGATGCAAGGGGAAAAGTGGTAGCTTTCATTGATGATCTTATGCATACACCTCAAAACTTTTCTAGTCTATGTAATCTTAGTCTCACTGCCTCTCCAATCTCATCCCATGCTTTCTCCTGTTTTCATTTTATTTCTCTCAGTGAACTCCAGCTTCTTCTTCTAATATCAGCTCAATTGCCACTTTTCAGATGCCTTCCTTGGCCCTTCTGAGTATATGAAATAATCTTGTTACTTACTCTCATAATTTTATGCACCCTTAGTTTGCAGCACTTACCATGATTGTTATTTCTACATTTAGTTTTGTAATTTTCTGATTAGAGACTATCTCCCTCATTAAGTCTATAAACTACATGAGGGAAGGGGGGTTTAATCTGTATTCAATCACCTTTGTATATTTAGACACTAGCACAGTGCCTAACACGTGGTAGCACTCAACAGGTATTGGCTAAGTGAATAATCAATTAAAGTCACTATCACTATGGTGGTCATCTAACATACTCACCTTTTTGACCACTCAAAACCATGTGACATAGGTAGCTGTCTTCATTTTCAAAATGAGGATTGGTTAACATATTTGCTCCAAGTCATACTTATAGATGGTGAAGCCAGATTTTGAATCATGTTTATCCGACTTCAAAGGCTGTGATCTTTCCATTACATGCCTCTGCCTCACCAGAGACTAAAGAAATGCTTTAATTTCGAGGGAGTTAATAATGCATGGGACCTGAACTGAATATAATTTTATGCTGTTCTGCACTAGAAGAATTTTTTATTATCCAGCTGTAGCTTTGTGCCTTCATCTCTTATCGAGAAGAGGTAATTATCTTCATTAAAAGGCAACCCCTTTTCTCCCATATAACTTTGATGCAGTGGGTAAAACACTATTTTCTTTACTCCTTGCTCCCTATAAAGTACTATCTTCAAAAGCTGTCAAAGTTTGCAAGCAGATGGCCAACTATTATTCACTCCTTAAGTTCCTCTGCAGCAATGTATCATCAGGTCCATCAGCAAATAGTAACATATGAATACATATTGTCTCATCTTTAGTATCTCCAAATGTCGCTTTAACATTTGGTATTCCACTCTGGTTCCTAATTAAAGAAAGCTCATTTCCAATTCCCCTGACTGATATCTACCATTTCAACAATGCCCTTTATGTTTGTCCTAGAATATTCATCATTGTCTTATTAACACAGTTGTCTTCAAATAAAATGGTAACTAACAAAGCCCTTTCCTGACTTTTTATTTTTTTCTTTTTTTTTTTTTTTGAGACGGAGTCTCGCTCTGTCTCCCAGGCTGGAGTGCAGTGGCGCAATCTCGGCTCACTGCAAGCTCCGCCTCCCGGGTTCACGCCATTCTCCTGCCTCAGCCTCCCGAGTAGCTGGGACTACAGGCGCCCGCCACCGCGCCCGGCTAATTTTTTTGTATTTTTAGTAGAGACGGGGTTTCACCGTGTTAGCCAGGATGGTCTCGATCTCCTGACCTCGTGATCCGCCCGCCTCGGCCTCCCAAAGTGCTGGGATTACAAGCGTGAGCCACCGCGCCCGGCCTCCTGACTTTTTAAAAGTCTTTGATTATTTATTTCTATTTGACATCCTCTTCTGTCTTAGGTTATGATTCCACCCTGGACTCATACACAGTGACATCTGCCACCTGAAACTTGATGGGCATTTTTACCTTTTTAAGCTCTTTATCACACTTATCCCTCTCCTGCTGCTGCTAGCCTGACTGGTATCTTTTCTGCAGCTCCCACTCACTGTCCCCTTTTCCATCTTTCTTCTCCGGGCTGTTTATCTCACACCCTCAGCCTGCCCCACTCTTTGCTCACGTTCGCCGAGGTCTAATACCGCTCATGTCATTCATTTCCCTCTCATATTCATTGAGCTTCTTAAGAAGATCAGTTCGTCTGTGTGATTTAATATCTAGTTCTTAATTTTATACCTAAGAGATAATACTCAAAGAAAATCATTCTTACCAACTCTGCTCTGTGTTTGAAAGGCATTTGATCCTATCACAGTGACATTGATTTGCATTTTGAATTTGTTGCCATTTAAAATAAATTAAAATTTTGTCTTAGCTTATAATCAGATTACAGTAGCAGCACGAATCCACCTGACTTTAAAAATCTGGAGAGAGCCATTTGCTTGTATAATAGGTCAACTCAAATATCACTTTGAATATATATTGTAAGGCTGGTACTAGGATTTCTGTGATAATAACTCTGCTAAAAATTAAAGGATTTGAGCATGAGTAAAGACTCTTTTATAGGCACATTAAGTGATAGGGAGTATGTAGCTTTTAAAAAACAGGCTTAATGGCAAGAAGTAGAATGTATTTGCTTTGAGTGAGCTGCTCAGAAAACAGGATGGATGGTGGAGTGACTCTAATGAAGGTGAACCCCTAGCACCAGGGGGCCCCTATTCTTGCTCCCACAGCCTTGGGTTGTTTATAACTGGTGAGGTCACAATATGGGACATTCAAACATCTGATAATATCCTTTTAAAATGACAGAAATAAACCTGATTGAATTGCCATATAAAAGTTAAGTTTCTTAACTAGGCATGAAGCCCTGATGAATAATGGATTCAAATTAGGGCTAGTGAGAATAAGGAAATGAACCTAAATACATTTTGCCTATCATTTCAAAGCAAACTTTTATTTGCAATTGTATTTTAAGGGAAAATAAGTATGTTTGCTAAGGACATTTGTAAAATAGAAATAGAAGGCACAAATCAAATCGAATCTAGTTAAATATCACTCTGGTTAATGCATATTTAGCTGAATAATATTTTTGAAAATTTTAAGTTTAAAGTAATAATATATTTAATTATACTCTAGACTATATTAACAAAAGCACATTATCCCAGTTTTTTCTGTACTGGTTAACACAAGGTAAAATTCCATCAGAAATACACATCAAATGTAAGCTTGACATTACAAAATTGGACAGTGATGAAATAGAGAACACAAAGAAAAATGACCGAGATGGTATTGCATTTGGAATGGATGTTCTGACTATTTATTCATTCATGCAGATACATTCAATGGGCTCCCTGGAAGATACTAGTGATGCAATAATAAATATGACAAACATGTCCCCAGCTTTACAGAAGAAATGAAAAGACTGTTGAAAATCATAATGAGGTGATTAATGTTACAGGAAAAGCAGAAAAAATAGGAGAACATATAGGAAGGTGCCTATTCAAGTTTAGGAATCAGAGGAGAGTGTGTGGAAGAAACACAGAATGAAAAAAGAGGCATAATTTATTCTCTTCAGAAGGCTTAGTGAATCAGAGAAAGTATGGTGTCTTGAGAAATTGATAGCAAATCAGGAAGTTTGGTGAGTAATTTCAAGGGAGAAGAGTAGGAAAGACAAAACAGAAACAGTAGTGGAACCAGATACTGAGAGTTCTATTAGCCAGGCATTGCAGTTTGCATTTAATCCTAGGAACAAATGGGACAGCATCTTGGTATTACACAGCTCTAGCAGGTGATGGCCATTGTGGTCTCTCTATTGTTAGTAACAGCCTACAAAGTCGTGTAGCGCATAACCTGTGCAACTGTCTACATTGATCCCAAATGGGAAGTCCTTTCATATCTGCAAACAGAAGAGTGATATAATTTTGGGGGGTTATAACTATATAAGAACACTCTAGCTGCTATGCAAAACACAGATCGTTTGTCATATATATGTATATATACACACATTCATTTATTCACTCATAAGCAAATCTTTATTATATACATGTATTATGAGTCAGGAACTCCCCTACTTATTGTAAGATTCAGCAGTTAGTAAGATAGTCAAGGTCTCCATAAGTATGGAGCTTGTATTCTGGTATGGGGGAAATAGAAAAAAATAATTTATCACTAAGTAAACAAAATAGTTTCAAATGCTAGGTGTTATGTAGAAAAGGAGGTAACACATATGTAGATTTGAAAGATTCAAAGGAGTTAACCATGTGAAGATCTGGAGGCACAGGACATTAGGAACAGTAAGCATGAAAACCTAGGCAAGAATATTCTAGATCAAGGAACAAAAAGATGAGAGTGTCTGGAGCATAGTAGGTCAAGGAAAGTGGAGCAAAAGGAATTCAAAGAGGCAGTCTGAGGTCTAATCAAATAAGTCTCTGTAGGGGTGGTTGAAAGAATCAGATGTGTGGATATATACAAGAGAAAACAAATTGAAAACAGAATAAATATGGTCAAATACATGGTGGTAATTCCATTTAAAGGGGACTTAAAACTAATTCTATATTGCTGCTGTCGAACAAATTAGGTGAAAAGGGTGGTTGTTAAAAAAAGGAAGATTCTATTTTCACAAACCGTCCATGAACAGAGCTGCTGTCACTTGAGATATTTATGCAGAGTCAGTGCAAGGAAATTCTGCTCTGTGGGAAAGGTCCACTGTGCAAAAAGTAGACAATTTGCTTCTAACGTCACTTCCCACTATAAATATTCTTAGTTCATTGGGGGAAAATAAGGTGCATAAAGATTTCCTAAATTCAATATCAGAATCTTTTTGGACCATGGTCATTGACATTTGTAGTTTCAGTGTACACAGGAAAAGATGAGGAGGCCCGCTCTCTGTTGTTCTGAATCCCTCCTGAATTTCCACTTTTTTTTTTTAACATGTGGGTTTCAGGCTCTACTTTATGATTGCTTTCATGTGACATAAACCTATCTTGCTATTAGTCACAGACAGAAAAATGTAGCATTTTCCTACAAAAAATACTAGTTTAAAATAAATAGGATAATCAGGCTTTAGAAAGGAAAATCAAAATGTCCATATTCTTAAACAAAAGCATTGAGACATTTTTTTCCTTTTCTATTTTTTTAAGCTCATATATTTTTTGATCTGCTTTTTCAGATTATATGTTTGGTCTTCACATCTATGTACATGTTCAAGAGTGAACATCTTAATCTTTCTAAGATTACATTTATTATACAGCTAGTAGTACATTGTTTAGTCAAAGAGTTGGAAAGAAGTTATGCTTGGGTGTCATATGTTTGGTTACGTTAAGCAATGGGTACAAAGGAAAGAGGATGAGCTCACTGAGCATCTCCTTATGGACATACTTCAGCACCTTCCATCCGTCTTTAGAATAAAGACATTAGTTTTTCTCTTGGCTTGCATAATCCCACCTGTTCTTGATCCCATGGCCTCTCTAGCATCTTCTCACAAAAAGCATGCAAGCATCAATTCTAAATTAGTTGTACTTCTTCTTTTCTTAAAGCCTTTGTACTGAAATATTTAAGGGTTTTTTTTGGTATGGGGTTTCTGAAATATAAAGATTGAAACATTTAAATATCTTAATCTAACTTTCTGTCTCAGTACAGCAGATAATGAAACTAAACATAGGTAGGTTCCCCTTGAAGATTTTAAAAGGGTCGTGTGTCAATGCTTTAATATGGTGCTGTGAAAACTTACAGGTTTTACACTTAAAAATATTATAGAGAAAACACTGCATTTTGATGTGATGCAAAGATAATTCCTTTAGAAGGAGTGGATGCCTTAAACATTTTGTGGACAGCAGAATTTTTTTTAGGACTGATGAGTTGCTTTTGATCATCTTAGTTTTCTGCATTTGTGACTCCTGCTGCTCCATTTTTCAGAATTCATTTAGTTTTACATTAGCCTGTGTTCATTTAGTACAAGATAAGGATAACACTCTTTTGCCAGATCATCAACTTTTAAAGGATTCATCTTCACTAATAAAGTAGAAGATTGTGTCAATTAGTCAAATAATTGGAGCAAAACCTGAACGGTTCTCTGCATTTTTCCTTCAGCTTTTTAAAGGTATAATTGACAAATAAAAATTATATGTATTTAAAGTGTACAACTTGATGGTTTGCTATATGTATGCATTGTTGAAATGATCACCACAATCAAGCTAATTAACATCCATGTATTTAGTTGCACTGCAGTATCACATTACAAATGTAAACAATTGGCTGCTCTGCCTATGGGCTAACCTGCTCTGTCTATGGAACAGCCAATTTCCAATACTCTGTTCCTCTAATAAACTGACTTTGCTTTCACTTAAGAAAAAAAAAAAAGAAAAAGAAATGTAAATGAAGTGTAAATGTAGCTTTGTTAAAGTACATTTTGCATTGCCTTTTACTGGCTGACAGTGGTCAGGAGAACTTCTTTATACCTCAGTCCAATATTGCTATAAAGCTTACAAAGTTAATCTTGTGCATTTAACTATTCTAAGGGACCTCTCTGGTTTAAAAAATTAAAACAAAAACAAAAAACAAAATCTGAAACACTAAAGTAAAAAAACAATTGAACCTAATCCTTTTATAGGTATAATCAATGACAAATTTGTACAATTTAAAAATTTACTTTGATGTATCTCTACCTTGACATTTCAATTTTAATTTTTTATGCTTTCTTAAAGTAGCACAGATTCCATTGCTGTTTTAGCTCTATGTACTGTCATCTATACATTTTATTTCCTCTTTTGGTTGTTTTGAATTTCTTTGACTGTAGAATAAAAGAGGGCAGGGTCAAAACCTTTTGTATAATACGCAGCATGATGATATGAATCAATTATGGATAACAGCTATAAATATTTTTTCATTTCCTTGAACAGTTGGGGCTTGGATATAATCTTCACTGTCCTTGAAAAAGAGTTTTCAAATGGATTTTCTTCCCTGTAAAGTGAATATGAGTCTGTATTTGCCCATAAAACTCTTTGTGCAAAATTTCAGCTTTAAAAAATTAAATCTGAAAGTTGCATAGATTCATGCTCCCTGTGCTAAAATTATGTTAGAAATGAAAAGTGCCTGAAAACAGGGATAATACAATGCAAATTGGTCTTTGCATGTCATTAACCTGACATCGATGATGTGCCTTGCTCAATTTCAGTATTTAATAAGTGTCCAATTTTTAAAGTATGAATAAAAATTAGAAACAATAACAAGTAAGTTACTTTCCAATAAATAGACATGTCCTCACTGATTTAAGGATAGTAATTGGGTGTAGCACATTAACTAAGTGGCCTAGAGCAATTTTGTAATAATCTTCTAAGAGCTTAGGGAAAAAAAATCAACATTTTATTACTCTTAACACACTGCAGTTACTGCTTCTCTTAATTCATTTTAGTGAGCTGTCAATAAATTTCACTCCATTAGATGCTGAATTTAATTAGCTCCAGGGTCACATTTTATGTGATTTCTAAATTGTGTGCTATTTACAATGTCTAGTAAATGTTACCTGTGGCAACATAAATATATTTAATCTATAGCCAGTAGTAGACAATTATTTTTCATTCCCTGGATATTACACATTCAAAACTGCTGTTTCTGATTACTTTCTCAGCTCTTCAGCTATGTTGTATGGGAACAGGACCAGCTACATAATTTGTGGTTCCTAATGCTAAATGAAAACACGAGTCCCCTGTTAAAAAGTTACTAAGAATTTTTAAGATGGGAACAGTAGAATTGGAGCAGGGACCTTTTAAAGAGAGACACCCTGTGTGACTGCACAGGTCACACACACCCATGAACTCAGCCTGGTGTATGAGTATAGCGTATTTTGAACAAAAATAATATCTAATGTGTATAAATTGTATTATTGGTAAATATCATGCTTGGGTAAATATGGATAACCAGAGATCAGTCTACTATGTATAAAGACAGAAACTGTGATCTCCTTGACTTTCAGCAAAAATGACTTAGGTTTATCATGTAAACAGAATGTTCTTAGAAAAAGACACATTATCCTTTGATCAAGTGTTTGATCTAAAAATCTATATCCCATATAAGTAGATGCCAACACCAGGCATTGTTTTTAAATTTGAACATCTTATTCTAAATCAAGATCCTATTTAACTCAGTTTTTCTTTGAAGCTGTCATGTGGTATAAAATGCTGGTATTCGACTTCCTCTCTATTCTTCTGTTCTTTTTCCGTAACAGAATACTGGCAGGGTGCTATGCGCAAAAGCTACATTTACACTCTCTACATTTACTTGAAGAGACCTGTGACCAACACACTTTAAGTAAAACTCTTTTATTACTCCTTTTCTTCCTGTCTGTCACAACTGTGAAGGCTGAAGCTTCAGCAGTTATATTTGAACCATGGGGCAACCTTGAGGATGATAGAGGTATACAACTTACGGTGCAACAGATAGACAAAAGAAGCCTACTTCATTGATGACTTTGAAAACATTTTAAACCAGCCCTGAATTGCCTGTATAAATGAACGACCGCTTACTTTATTTCAATCTCTGAAATCCCGTTTATTAGTTGAAGCACAACTTTGACTGATACCGGAGATAACGTTCCCTTTTTTTTTTTTAATTGTGTTTTACTGGATCCTGCTATTGTTGTGGTAATAACAGATAGATATAAAGCATCTCCTCTATATGATAACATAAGTAGAGAAAGGTTCTTTAAAATAAAATAAACGTAACTCCACTTCATTTTGTTATAAGAGCTTTCAAAATCTGGCCAATTGTTTGCTTTGCTTGTTCTATAAAAGTAATTAGAGTTTTCATTTTGTTTTGTATTTGTTTTTTATTTTTGTGCCTGTTTGTCTTATTTTCTTGGTTTCTTTTAACCTGTTACAAATTACCTTAGGGTTTATTCATTCATTTAAGCAGTGACCCAAACTGATGACACAAAAACAAATAACATACGCCATCAACCCTTAAATGACTCAGAGCTTAATGAGAGATTAAATTTGTAAAATATAACTTGAAATACAACTTAGTAAGACTTACAATAGAAGGAAAAAATAATACAGGTTTCCAGTTCCACTAAAACAAATGGCTACCTTCCTTCCTAGGAAACTTAGAAGCGCTAGTAAACATCCAACCTTGATGATCCAACCTAGAATCTGATGATGCCTCTTAGACCCATTGCTAAATAAATAAAACTTTGTTCTTTGACTTTTTCCAACTTTGTGAATAAGAAATGTTAGATTGACTTTATAAATTATTCTCTCCACCCATGTAGAATCTAAGGATGTGATTTAGATTTTAAAAAATAAGCTTTATATTTAAAAAAAAAGTATTGATTTATTTCAAGAAATAGAGCAGGGTTCATGACTTTCCTTTAGGTAACATGTATTTCCTTCTGTTAAATCTATATATTATGCCTGACAGAGGTGCCATTAACTTTTAAGTCACTATTACTTAGGTACTATTTGGTTACACTCTAAATTTTCTTCTCAGTGTTTCTGCCATTCATTCATTTTCAATATTTTAGTGGAGTTTTGTCCAGCTGAGATAATATATTTCTTTCTCAACAGGATTCTGTAGTAGACTGCTGAAAAGTATAATTTCACATATGTATGATAAAAAAAAAAAAGGAAAGCGAAGCTGCACTTGATAAGAGACCAGACTAGTGAAGGCTTCAAAATAGATAGAGGATATAGTCTTTATCAGTAGATAAAACTTCAACAACTACTACCTTTTTAGTTTAAAAAAAGAAGAAATTCACAATTTTAAAACACTTCTAGATACATGAAATATCTAAAAGCAAGTCAAATAATGTGACCTACTCAGACTTCAAACTCAAAAACATAGTAGACAAACTAAAATAATAAATACATTTTAAATGACACTTTGAACACCTAAGGTGTTAGAAAAACATTTTTTGATTATATAATCACTATATATATACACACACACACACACACACACACACACACACACAAAAACATACATGCACACACAGTAGAAAACTTGGAGAACCCAATAAAACACAAGAAAGACAATTAAAAACAAAAATCACTTATCTTTCCATGATCTAGAAATAAAATTTCATGAGTAATCTGTCATTTTTAATGAATCAATGTCAATAAGTCTTTATAAATACACACAAACATGCACACACAACACTGTGGTCTAATTCCACATAGCTTAACACTAACAAAAATTGTGTAAGTTAGTTTTTTATAACCCTGTGGGAGGGTTCTGGGAACAAATAGGAAACATGCAACATGAACATGTATTCTTCCCCCTCCACCTCTAATCCCAGCCTCAATCAACCTACTTCCCCTGAGCCTTATGGTAGTTTGTGCCTTTTGTCAATGAGTATAGGCAAGTGAAACCTAGATTTTATTGGAGTTACATAAAGAGGGCTAGCAATTGAAAGCCTTAAGGCAGATATGGGCGATGGAGTATCCTGGGAAGTTATAGGTTCTCAGAGAATTGTAGAAACTGTAGTGACATGAACTTGTCTTAAGATATCTGGTTTCTTTGAGCACAAAGTCAATGAACAGTTGGGCCAAGCCTCACCAGACCCAAGGCAGGTATAATTTAGGGAAATGAGAGAGACTTTGGGAGTTTCAGCAAAGCCTGGCAACCTGTCTTTTTACTTGTCCATGGTCCATAAGGGATGAGATTGCTTTGTCTCCAGCCCCTGTAAGACTACGATGCTTTGGAAAAACAACTAGACCTGAGCCCCATGAGCTCAGTTGGATGAGTTACATCCCATCTAAATCAGCCAGTTCTCCAAGAGAGTAATCAATCTGAACAGGATGATATGTATTCAGTAGAACATGGCTGTTGCATGAGATAGCCACTTGAATAAAATGTAATGACAGAAGCACACAAGAAAAATAAATTCTCTTACCAAAAACAAAATAAAATGAAAAAATGGATTTGCTAGCTAAATAATTTATTAAGTGATTTAAAGATAAGATGTTCACCTAAGATCTGAATTAATGGTCTATAAATTTAAGTGCAAGAAATGGCTCAAAGAGCAAGGCAAATTATATAGAGGTATAAATTATGAGAAAAAGGAAAAAATGCATAGAAGATATATCCTGGTGAACTAACAGGTGATTAACATAGTTCCAGAAAAAAATTAATATGTGTTAGAAGTGATAAGTAAAGAAATTATAGAAGAAAGTTTTCCTGTGATAGAGATCTGAGACTCATTGATTAAGTATCTTTGTCAACTTTCAGACTCGACAAGAGAAACAGAATATACTTGGATATAACCTACTAAATTTCTTGTATACTCATGAAAAAGAAAAATTTTGAGCTTCTAGTCAAATAGGAAAAATAACTTAGATTGGTACCAGACTTTTAATTTGCAACTGTGGGCAGCAGAATACTAAGAGCACTTATGAACTGATGAACAGAAAGTTCTACAATCCAAAAATCCTGATATGCTAACTTTCCAGGGGAAGAAAAAAGATATTAAGAATCAAAAAAACACATCATTTATGTAACTCCTATGAGGAAAACATTCAAGGAAGAGGCTTTGTGCCAACTAACAATATGTGAACTAGAACAAAGGCCTTAAAATGGAAGAAGAGAGAAAACGGGGTAATTAACATTTCTGTCTCCTGCCTTCTGTAATAATTGATACTAAATAAATGGGATACACTTAGAATATGCAATATCCATCTCAATATCTGTTACAAGAACTCTTGTAGCAAAAGGGATCCACAGTAGGAGAACTTCCAATAATAACACTTACCTAACAGTAGTAAACAATTTCACCAAATCTCTGCATTGGAGATATGTTGAGGAGGAGGGTAATAATACTCTACCCCATATTTTTATTATTTTTCAGGGGTGAGACCAAGAAAAAGGCAGAAGAGAGATGAGGTAAAGTCGTCTAAAATTTTGTCTTAATGTGGTTAGAAGGAAAAAAAAAGCTTGATGAGAAAAACAATCTATGTTGTTGGGAGAAATTATGGGTATTTTTAATTCAATGAATTATAAAATTATTTTAATTTGTCTTTTATTTGTTATATATTTTTTCTGTTTAATTATTTGGCCAGGAAGAAATAACTTTAAAAATTAGGGTAGAATTTCATACTTAGGGAAAAATGGAAAGAATAGTAGTAACGTAAAAGAAAACACAATAATGTAAAAGAAAACACAAAATGATGACGCAAAGAAAAGAAAACACAAAATGATGATGCAAAGAAATATTCAAGTAGATATAAATATGCTTCAATATATGAAACAATTTTATTATACTTTAAAGATTTCAAATTTCTGAAATACTTTATCAAGTTTTCCTACAATCTGAAAGCTAATAACAGCATTTTTGAAATTATTACAAAATCATAAAATAATGTACCTTAATGGATATTATAAAATATTTTAATGGTTTACCATTAAATATATTTCTGTGTACATAAATATTAATGATTCTATTACAGAATTTTGGCTTCTGGACTGCAGTTATCTAAGATGATTGGTTTCTTAGCACTAAAAAGATATAAATGCCCTGATCCTGGACCACGGAGAAAATTCCCTATTAATTAAACATGCTGTTTAATTAAAAAGTCAACAGCTGTTTAATCTTACGAAGACATATGATAAAAACAAAAGAAATCTTCATTTAAGTTACTTTACTGAAGGTATATTTGTTTGCAAAGATAAAAGCACAATAGAAAATTATTCTTTATAATAAATAAAAATAAATAATTTTACTTTTTTCTCTTTTAAAAAAAGTTATCTTAAAGTTCAGGAGTAGGAGCCAGGTGCAGTGGCTCACGCCTGTAATCCCAGCACTTTGGGAGGCCGAAGCAGGTGGATCACGAGGTCAGGAGATTGAGACCATCCTGGACAACATGGTGAAACCCCGTCTCTACTAAAAATGCAAAAATTAGCAGGGCGTGGTGGCTTGCGCTTGTAGTCCCAGCTACTCGGGAGGTTGAGGCAGGAGAATCGCTTGAACCCAGGAGACGGAGGTTGAAGTGAGCCAAGATTGCTCCACTACACTCCAGCCTGGAGACATAGAGAGACTCTGTCTCGAAACAAAACAAAACAAAGGAACAAACAAACAAAAAAACAAAGTTCAGGAGTAGGTTAAATTTGCACCTATTTATAACTTCAAAATCGATTTCTATAAACTTATAGATACTTGAATATAAAAATAGGACACAGTATGAATTGTTCTTGTACACAGAGCTCAAGCGGTAAAACTTTGAAAATCTGTTGGAAAATATTTCCTTTGATACTAATTTTAACCTTTATTCTAAAAAGGTTTAATGGAATAAATTTAAAAAAAAAAAAACAAAATGTGTTATGAAAGGCATAGAAACTACAAAGGCAACATTCTGAATTCAGTCATAATATTTTAATACCTAAAGTTCTATTCTGAGTTAAGAGCTCTAGATTCTAGAGATATCTAAAGGATCTTCATAGGATCATATTATTTGGGATTTGTTTTCTTTAAATTTGACAAAAAGCATGATTGAAAAGCTTGTTAATTATAACAATGTCATCTTATATTGGTGTATACCTTTGTTATTTATAGAACATTTTTACATATAAACTTCCCTTTCATAGTAAACTTATCAAATAAGGTTAAAAATTAGCAACTCCATATTACAAGGAGAAAAGCTGAAGAGTGGAGGCTTATCATCTGCCACCATTATACATCCAGTGACAGAATCAGGACCCAGAACCCAGTGTTAGAAATTTCTGTTGAGTTTGTAATACACATCACTGTGACTTTATCTTGAATAGGAAAGAGAAGATCAAATTTTTTCTATCTGCACACATTAATATACTTTTTATTCAGATTGTATGCAATCTGAATAAAACAGATTTAAAATATTTCTTTTTAAATATTTTTAAATATTTTTATCTCTTTTAAACTTAAAATATCTTAAAATATTTAAAATAATTTATCTCTCATTTTAAAAATTGCTTATTTATTAAAATCTTTCTGCATATTATTTTGTTATTTCAACACAGGCTTTATAGAGTTCAAGACTAATAAGACATTTACAAGATGATAAGAACACTTTATTGGTCACATGAAGTTTTTAAAGTGAAGTAACAGCTTATAAATCACAAATTTATCAGAAAACAGAGATAAGTTGTAAGTACAAACAATTTAGCATGATAAACAAATAGAAGAAAAGTGAAAACACTCTAGGAAGCATACACAATAACATGTCTTTCTTGAAATATTCATGATATTTTCCTGTATTTCAATTCATGAAGGAGAATTACTCATGTCATTATTTTATAACTAAAAATTACATGCCAAAATTACCAACGTGTCAAGTATTTTGCCCAAATGCAGCACATAAAAATATTGGTTTCTGGGCTGGGTGTGGTGGCTCATGCCTGTAATCCCAGCACATTGGGAGGCTGCGGCAGGCAGATCACGAGGTCAGGAGATTGAGACCATCCTGGCTAACGTGTTGAAACCCCATCTCTACTAAAAATACAAAAATTAGCTGGGCATGGTGGTGCATGCCTCTAATCCCAACTACTCAGGAGGCTGAGGCAGGAGAACCACCTGAACTTGGGAGGTGGAGGTTGCAGTGAGCCAAGAGCACACCACTGCACTCCAGCCTGGCCACAGAGCGAGACTCTGTCTCAAACAAACAAACACAAAAAAATTGGCTTCCTTAAAGTAGGCTTTCTTATTATGAAACTATCATTGCAAAATCAGGGACTATATTCAAAGTATACTTGTCCAATCAGTACTATTTATCACCTTTGAAAGAAATTCTTTTTTTTTTTTATTGTAAGTTCTAGGGTACATGTGCACAACGTGCAGGTTTGTTACATATGTATACATGCGCCATGTTGGTGTGCTGCACTCATTAACCCGTCATTTACATTAGGTATATCTCCTAATGCTATCCCTCCTCCTCCCCCACCCCATGACGGGCCTCGGTGTGTGATGTTCCCCTTCCTGTGTCCATGTGTTGTCATTGTTCAATTCCCACCTATGAGTAAGAACATGCAGTGTTTGGTTTTTTGTCCTTGCAATAGTTTGCTGAGAATGATGGTTTCCAGCTTCATCCATGTCCCTACAAAGGACATGAACTCATCCTTTTTTATGGCTGCATAGCATTCCGTGGTGTATATGTGCCACATTTTCTTAATCCAGTCTATCATTGGTAGACATTTGGGTTGGTTCCAAATCTTTGCTATTGTGAACAGTGCCACAATAAACATACATGTGCATGTGTCTTTATAGCAGCATGATTTATAATCCTTTGGGTATATACCCAGTAATGGGATGGCTGGGTAAATGGTACTTCTAGTTCTAGATCCTTGAGGAATCGCCACACTGTCTTCCACAATGGTTGAACTAGTTTACAGTCCCACCAACAGTGTAAAAGTGTTCCTATTTCTCCACATCCTCTCGAGCACCTGTTGTTTCCTGACTTTTTAATGATCGCCATTCTAACTGGTGTGAGATGGTATCTCATTGTGGTTTTGATTTGCATTTCTCTGATGGCCAGTGATGATGAGCATTTTTTCATGTGTCTTTTGGCTGCATAAATGTCTTCTTTTGAGAAGTGTCTGTTCATATCCTTCACCCACTTGTTGAAGGGTTTTTTCTTTTTCTTGTAAACTTGTTTGAGTTCTTTGTAGATTCTGGATATTAGCCTTTTATCAGATGAGTAGATTGCAAAAATTTTCTCCCATTCTGTAGGTTGCCTGTTCACTCTGATGGTAGTTTCTTTTGCTGTGCAGAAGCTCTTTAGTTTAATTAGATCCCATTTGTCAATTTTGGCTTTTGTTGCCATTGCTTTTGGTGTTTTAGACAAGAAGTCCTTGCCCATGCCTATGTCCTGAATGGTATTGCCTAGGTTTTCTTCTAGGATTTTTATGGTTTTAGGTCTAACATTTAAGTCTTTAATCCATCTTGAATTAATTTTTGTACAAGGTGTAAGGAAGGGATCCAGTTTCAGCTTTCTACGTATGGCTAGCCAGTTTTCCCAGCACCATTTATTAAATAGGGAATCCTTTCCCCATTTCTTGTTTTTGTCAGGTTTTTCAAAGATCAGATGGTTGTAAATGTGTGGTATTATTTCCAAGGGCTCTGTTCTGTTCCATTGGTCTATATCTCTGCTTTCGTACCAGTACCATGCTGTTTTCGTTACTATAGCCTTGTAGTATAGTTTGAAGTCAGGTAGCATGACTTTGTTCTTTTGCCTTAGGATTGTCTTGGCAATGCGGGCCCTTTTTTGGTTCCATATGAACTTTAAAGTAGTTTTTTCCAATTCTGTGAAGAAAGTCATTGGTAGCTTGATGGGGATGGCATTGAATTTATAAATTACCTTGGGCAGTATGGCCATTTTCACGATATTGATTCTTCCTATCCATAAGCATGGAATGTTTTTCCATTTGTGTGTGTCCTCTTTAATTTCATTGAGCAGTGGTTTGTAGTTCTCCTTGAAGAGGTCCTTCACATCCCTTGTAAGTTGGATTCCTAGGTATTTTATTCTCTTTGAAGCAATTGTGAATGGGAGTTCACTCATGATTTGGCTCTCTGTTTGTCTGTTATTGGTGTATAAGAATGCTTGTGCTTTTTGCACATTGATTTTGTATCCTGAGAGTTTGCTGAAGTTGCTTATCAGCTTAAGGAGATTTGGGGCTGAGATGATGGGGTTTTTCTAGATATACAATCATGTCATCTGCAAACAGGGACAATTTGACTTCCTCTTTTCCTGATTGAATACACTTTATTTCCTTCTCCTGCCTGATTGCCCTGGCCAGAACTTCCAACAGTATGTTGAATAGGAGTGGTGAGAAAGGACATTCCTGTCTTGTGCCAGTTTTCAAAGGGAATGCTTCCAGTTTTTGCCCATTCAGTATGATAGTGGCTGTGGGTTTGTCATAAAAAGCTCTTATTATTTTGAGATACGTCCCATCAATACCTAATTTCTTGAGAGTTTTTAGCATGAAGGGCTGTTGAATTTTGTCAAAGGCCTTTTCTGCATCTATTGAGATAATCATGTGGTTTTTGTCTTTGGTTCTGTTTATATGCTGGATTACATTTATTGATTTGTGTATGCCGAACCAGCCTTGCATCCCGGGGATGAAGCCCACTCGATCATGGTCGATAAGCTTTTTGATGATGTGTGCTAGATTTGGTTTGCCAGTATTTTATTGAGGATTTCTGCATCAATGTTCATCAGGGGTATTGGTCTAAAATTCTCTTTTTTTGTAGTGTCTCTGCCAGGCTTTGGTATCAGGATGATGCTGGCCTCATAAAATGAGTTAGGGAGGATTCCTTCATTTTCTATTGATTGGAATAGTTTCAGAAGGAATGGGACCAGCTCCTCCTTGTACATCTGGTAGAATTTGGCTGTGAATCCATCTGGTCCTGGACTTTTTTTGGTTGGTAGGCTATTAATTATTCCCTCAATTTTAGAGCTGTTATTGGTCTATTCAGGGATTCAACTTCTTCCTGGTTTAGTCTTGGGAGGTTGTATGTGTCCAGGAATTTATCCATTTCTTCTAGATTTTCTAGTTTATTTGCATAGAGGTGTTTACAGTATTCTCTGATGGTAATTTGTATTTCTGTGAGATTGGTGGTGATATCCCCTTTATCATTTTTTATTGCATCTATTTGATTCTTCTCTCTTTTCTTCTTTATTAGTCTTCCTAGTGGTCTATCAATTTTGTTGATCTTTCCAAAAAACCAGTTCCTGGATTCATTGATTTTTTGAAGGGTTTTTATGTCTCTATCTCCTTCAGGTCTGCTCTGATCTTAGTTATTTCTTGCCCTCTGCTAGCTTTTGAATGTGTTTGCTCTAGCTTCTCTAGTTCTTTTAATTGTGATGTTAGGGTGTCAATTTTGGATCTTTCCTGCTTTCTCTTGTGGGCATTTAGTGCTATAAATTTCCCTCTACACACTGCTTTAAATGTGTCCCAGAGATTCTGGTATGTTGCATCTTTGTTCTCATTGGTTTCAAAGAACATCTTTATTTCTGCCTTCATTTCGTTATGTACTCAGTAGTCATTCAGGAGCAGGTTGTTCAGTTTCCATGTAGTTGAGTGGTTTTGAGTGAGTTTCTTAATCCTGAGTTCTAGTTTGATTGCACTGTGGTCTGAGAGACAGTTTGTTATAATTTCTGTTCTTTTCCATTTGCTGAGGAGTGCTTTACTTCCAACTGTGTGGTCAGTTTTAGAATAAGTACAATGTGGTGCTGAGAAGAATGTACATTCTGTTGATTTGGGGTGGAGAGTTCTGTAGATGTCTATTAGGTCCACTTGGTACAGAGCTGAGTTCAATTCCTGGATATCCTTGTTAACTTTCTGTCTCATTGATCTGTCTAATGTTGACAGTGGGGTATTAAAGTCTCCCATTATTATTGTGTGGGAGTCTAAGTCTCTTTGTAGGTCTCTAAGGACTTGCTTTATGAATCTGGGTGCTCCTGTATTGGGTGCATGTATGTTTAGGATAGTAAGCTCTTCTTGTTGAATTGATCCCTTTACCATTATGTAATGGCCTTCTTTGTCTCTTGTAATCTTTGTTGGTTTAAAGTCTGTTTTATCAGAGACTAGGATTGCAACCCCTGCCTTTTCTTGTTTTCCATTTGCTTCGTAGATCTTCCTCCATCCCTTTATTTTGAGCCTATGTGTGTCTCTGCATGTGAGATGGGTCTCCTGAATACAGCACACTGATAGGTCTTGACTGTTTATCCAATTTACCAGTCTGTGTCTTTTAATTGTAGCATTTAGCCCATTTACATTTAAGGTTAATATTTGTATGTGTGAATTTGATCCTGTCATTAGGATGTTAGCTGGTTGTTTTGCTTGTTAGTTGATGCAGTTTCTTCCTAGCATTGATAGTCTTTACAATTTGTCATGTTGTTGCTGTGGCTGGTACTGGTTGTTCCTTTCCATGTTTAGTGCTTCCTTCAAGAGCTCTTGTAGGGCAGGCCTGATGGTGACAAAACCTGTCAGCATTTGCTTGTCTATAAAGGATTTTATTTCTCCTTCACTTATGAAGCTTACTTTGGCTGGATATGAAATTCTCGGTTGAAAATTATTTTCTTTAAAAATGTTGAATATTGACCCCCATTCTCTTCTTGCTTGTAGAGTTTCTGCTGAGAGATCCACTGTTAGTTTGATGGGCTTCCGTTTGTGGGTAACCCAACCTTTCTCTCTGGCTGCCCTTAACATTTTTTCCTCCATTTCAACTTTGGTGAATCCGACAATTATGTGTCTTGGCATTGCTCTTCTCGAGGATTATCTTTGTGGCATTCTCTGTATTTTCTGAATTTGAATTTTGGCCTGCCTTGCTAGGTTGGGGAAGTTCTCCTGGATAATATCCTGAAGAGTGTTTTCCAACTTGGTTCCATTCTCCCTGTCACTTTCAGGTACACCAATCAGATGTAGATTTGGTCTTTTCACATAGTCCCATATTTCTTGGAGGCTTTGTTCCTTTCTTTTTACTCTTTTTTCTCTAAACTTCTCTTCTCACTTCATTTCATTCATTTGATCTTCCATCACTGATACCCTTTCTTCCAGTTGATCGAATCGGCTACTGAAGCTTGTGCATTCGTCACGTAGTTCTCGTGCTATGGTTTTCAGCTGCATCATGTCCTTTAAAGACTTCTCTGCGTTGGTTATTCTAGTTAGCCATTCGTCTAATCTTTTTTCAAGGTTTTTAACTTCTTTGTGATGGGTTCGAACTTCCTCCTTTAGCTCGGAGAAGTTTGATTGTCTGAAGCCTTCTTCTCTCAACTCATCAAAGTCATTCTCTGTCCAGCTTTGTTCTGTTGCTGGCGAGGAGCTGTCTTCCTTTGGAGGGGGAGAGGTGCTCTGATTTGTAGAATTTTCAGTTTTTCTGCTCTGTTTTTTCCCCATCTTTGTGGTTTTATCTACCTTTGGTCTTTGATGATGGTGATGTACAGATGGGGTTTTGGTGTGGATGTCTTTCTGTTTGTTAGTTTTCCTTCTAACAGTCAGGACCCTCAGCTGCAGATCTGTTGTTGGAGTTTGTGGGAGGTCCACTCCAGACCCTGTTTGCCTGGGTATCAGCAGCAGAAGCTGCAGAACAGCGAATATTGGTGAACCGCAAATGTTGCTACCTGATCGTTCCTCTGGAAGCTTCATCTCAAAGGGGTACCCAGCTGTGTGAGGTTTCAGTCTGCCCCTCCTGGAGGGTGCCCCCCAGTTAGGCTACTCGGGTGTCAGGGACCCACTTGAGGGGGCAGTCTGTCCATTCTCAGATCTCAAACTCTGTGCTGGGAGAACCACTACTCACTTCAAAGCTGTCAGACAGGGACGACATTTAAGTCTGCAGAGGTTTCTCCTGCCTTTTGTTCAGCTATGCCCTGCCCCCAGAGGTGGAGTCTACAGAGACAGGCAGGCCTCCTTGAGCTGTGGTGGGCTCCACCCAGTTCGAACTTCCTGGCCGCTTTGTTTACCTACTCAAGCCTTAGCAATGGCGGGCGTCCCTCCCCCAGCCTCGCTGCTGCCTTGCAGATCAATCTCAGATTGCCGAGCTAGCAATGAGCGAGGCTCCATGGGTGTGGGACCCTCCAAGCCAGGTGTGGGATATAATCTCCTGGTATGCCGTTTGCTAAGACCATTGGAAAAGCGCAGTATTAAGGGGGAGTGACCCAATTTTCCAGGTGCCGTCCGTCACTGCTTCCCTTGTCTAGGAAAGGGAATTCCCTGACCCCTTGCACTTCCCGGGTGAGGTGATGCCTCACCCTGCTTTGGGTCATGCTCAGTGGGCTGCACCCAGTGTCCTGCCCCCACTGTCTGACAAGCCCCAGTGAGATGAGCCCAGTACCTCAGTTGGAAATGTAGAAATCACCCGTCTTCTGCGTCGCTCACGCTGGGAGCTGTATACTGGAGCTGTTCTTATTCAGCCATCTTGGAACTGCTGCAGGAATTCTTAAAAATTATTTATGATTTCAAATCCTAGATTTGTATTTTACCACCCAAATATCACCTGTAGAAATGCAAATTGATTAACAGTGTTTAACCAACATAATATGTTTACTAAAAGCAGTGGAATATAAGGGCATCCAAATAGGAAGAGAGAATGTCAAACTATCTCTGTTTCCAGATGACATGACTTTATATCCAGAAAACCCAGAACACCCCATAGTCTTGGCCCCAAGTGTCTTCCAGCTGATAAACAACTTCAGCAAAGTTTGCAGGATACAAAATCAATGTATAAAAATCACTAGCATTTCTATATACCAACAGCAGCCAGACCAAGAGCCAAATCAGAAAAGGCAATCCCATTCCCAATTGCCAGAAAAAGAATAAAATGACTAGGAATACAGCTAGACAAGGAGGTGAAAGATCTTTACAATGAGAATAGCATAACACTGCTCAAAGACATCAAAGACACAAACAAAAGGAAGAAGATCCCATGCTCCTGGATAGGAAGAATTAATATCATTGAAATGGGCTATATTGCCCAAAGCAATTAACAGATTCAATGCTATTCTGATGACACTCCTCATGGAACTAAAAACTATTTTAAAATTCATATGGAACCAAAAAAGAGCCTGAATAGCCAAAGCAATCCTAAACAAAAAGAACAAAGCTGGAGGCATCACATTAACTGACTTCAAACCATACTACAAGACTACTGTAACCAAGCAGCATGGTACTGGTAGAAAAACAGGCACATAGACCAATGGAACAGAGTAGAGAGTCCAGAAATAAGGCCACACATCTATGGCCATCTGATCTTCAACAAAACTGACAAAAAAAAGCAATGGGGAAAAGACTTCCTATTCAATAAATGGTGCTGGGATAAGCGGCTAGCCACATGCAAAAGACTGAAGCTGGACCCCTTCCTTACACCATACACAAAAATCAACTCAAGATGGATTAAATACCTAAGTGTAAAACCTGAAACTATAAAAACCCTGGAAGACAACCTAGGCAATACTGTCCTGGACATAGGAACAGGCAAATATTTCATGACAAAGACACCAAAAGCAATCGGAACAAAAGCCAAAATTGACAAGTGGGATCAACTTAAGAGCTTCTGTGCAGCAAAAGAAAACTATCAACAAAGTAAATAGACAGTCTACAGAATGGGAGAAAATATTTACAAACTATGCATCTGACAAAGGTCTAATATCCACCATCTATAAAGAACTTAAACATATTTACAAGACAAAAACAACCTCATTAAAAAGTGAGCAAAGAACATGAACAGACACTTCTCAAAAGTAGACATACATGCGGCCAACAGGCATATGAAAAAAAGCTCAATATCACCGATCATTAGAGAAATGCAGATAAAAACCACAATGAGATACCATTTCACACTAGTCAGAATGGCTATTATTACAAAGTCAAAAAATAACAGAGTCTGTCAAGGTTGTGGAGAAAAGGGAACACTTATATACTGTTGGTGGGACTGTAAATTAGTTCAACCGTTGTGGAAAATAGTATGGAGATTCCTCAAAGAACTAAAAGCAGAATTATCATTCAACCCAATAATCCCATTACTGGTTACATACCCAGAGGAATATAAATCATTTTACCATAAAGACACATGCACACAAATGTTCATTGCAGTACTATTCACAATAGCAAAGACATGGAATCAACCCAAATGCCCATCAATGACAGACTGGATAAAGAAAATGTGTTCATATACACCATGGAATATTATGCAGGCATCAAAAATAACAAAATCATGTCTTTTACAGAAACATGGAGGGAGTTAGAGGCCATTATCCTTAGCAAACTAATGCAGGAACAGAAAACCTCATATCACATGTTCTCATTTATCAGTGGGAGCTAAATGATGAGAACTTATGAACACAAAGAAGGAAACAACACGCACTGAGGTCTACTCGAGGGGGAAGGGTGAGAGGAGAGAGAGGAGCAGAAAAAATAACTGTTGGGTACTGGGCTTAATACTTGGGTGATGAAATAATATGTACAACAAACCCCTATGACATGTGTTAACTTACGTAAACAAACCTTCACTTGTACCCGCAAGCCTATAGTAAAAGTTGAAAAAAAAGTGGGACATAAGCGACTTATTTCGGAAAACAACCACTTCTCTATTTTCAACAAATAAGGCACATTTTCTACAGGTTCATCCTGTCTAAACAACATAAGTAGGAACTGACCAAAATATTTCCTCTCGTGATCTTTTTCCTGATCTTAGTTGCAAAAAGATCTTATAGATTTTCAACTGTCAATCTCCAAAAAAGACAGGAAAAGTGTTAGATGATGATGTGGTTACAAATTATACTTCCCTGAGAAACTATAAAGTTCTCAAGAATTAACAGAAAAAAAGCAATCCAGCTCTGTCCTCAATGGCATTGTATTTTTATAGCCAATTCCTGCCCAATATTAGATTAAAAACTGGAATTCAGAGTGTGCCAGAGACACAATGGACGTATAAATACCTAGAGCTTCTATGAAACAGACACGAACAGTGGCATTTTAAAGTCAAACTTTATGTATGTGGGTTAGAAATGAAAGAATGTAAATATCCTGTGTTCTAATTTGCATCCATTTGGAAATCAGAAATGGAACCTCATAAATTTCATATTAAACGATACATAAATATCATAGGTTAGAGGACACATTTTCAATGCAATGTTATGCTCCAGAAGTAAAATTCACTAAAGCTAGTAAAATGAATAGAGTTAATGCCCCAGGTATGAAACTGGAAATATAATCTGTAGATATTTAACTGGACTCTGAAAAGCCCATGATATTTTCTGCAGGATATTTAACCAAGTTTCTAAGTTTGGCAGCAGTTTTGTATTCACCTAATTTTCTTCTTCTGAGTTTCAAACAGACTTTCAGAGTTAAAAAGGCCAAGCATTTTCCTGAAGTTCAAGATGCCAGTCATCTTCTGAAGTCACTGCTTCTTGGAGAATGTCAGCCATATCCTCGCTTCCTCTCACTTCAGCCACTGGAATTATGCCAAAGCAGCTTTGGTTAATAACCAGATAAGGTGTCACTGGATAATACTGGTACAGCAGGGAATGGTGTTGCATATGCCTCTTGCACTTCTGGTCTACTATTTCTCCACCTATGATGCCTGATAAAACCACTTCACAGTTGTATACTGTTAAAGGAAAAACTTCAGCCGTATTACATTTAAGAATTTAATTGAGCAAAGAACAATTCGCCTATCGGGCCGCCTCCAGAGCCAGAGTAGGCTCAGAGACTGCAGCGCAGCTGCGTGGTGGAAGAGGATTTATGGACAGAAAAAATAAAGTGACATACACAAAACAGAAGTGAGGTACAGAAACAGCCAGATTGGTAACAGCTCGGCATTTGTCTTATTCAAACATGATTTGAACTGTTGACCGCAATCGATTGGCCAAAACTCAGTGATTGGCACAAGAGTAGATTGTAGCCTGTTTATACTTCCGTTTAGGCTATAGTTCATGATGTACAGATAAATCTTTAGGCTGAACTTAAAATAAGTAAGGAGTCAGCTTTAGGCTAAACTTTATTTGACAATGTTGTCCTCCTGGGGCCACCTGAGACATGGAAGGAGTAAGATCCAGCCCAGATCACCTTGAGTCTGCTCTTGGAGAGTTCTCATTTCCAAAATTTATTTACACAGCCTGGATTTCTTAAACATTAAATATTAGATCAGCTTGTGGATTGCAAATTGCCGTGTTCTATATAAAATTGTATTATCACCTTCATGTGATCTTATTTTTCTTCTCTTTGACCCTCTCTTTTCTTTCATTCTATGTTTCTTCTCGTGTGCTCTTTTTTGCCTATTGTCTCTCCTTATAATGTTTTCTTTTTGTACCACGGGTCAGAAAAGAAGGCCTCTGCCATCTTGGTGGATAAGTGGTGCTTTCTCCTGTAAGGTACCCTTCCACATCCTTCCTCATACCTGTATTCTTGGCTGTATTAGCACCATTTTGGAGAGCACCTCTGGGATTCACTATAATGCTGTCTTCAGGGTCCTTATCCTTTGTCTTAAGATGATGCTAGTTCATAAAGAAATCCTTTCAATTCTTCAGTTACAAAACCATCTTTTAAATGAGGTTCAGACCTTTTTTGATTTGAATTCAATTCAGTTCTGTAATAAAGAAATTTACTTTCATTTTTAAAAAGTGTGGAGAGTAAGTCCCACCGGAAAAAAAAAAGAAACTCTCATTTGGTTTAAGACAGATGAATAATAAAGAGAGAAAAAGATAACTAGATTGTTAAAATTTGACTGCAAGGAGAAGAAAAATTCAACTGGAGAGCTGTCAGCACAGAACAGATGAGGGATGATAAAATAGGGATCAGAGATACTCCAGGCAAGTGAGAGTTTGAATGAACATCTAATAATACTGAACAACTTGTGGACATGTTGAAAAAGTTAAGAACTTGGTATCTAAAAGCATCTTTCTCTATACTATGTGTTCTATGCAATATGAGTATGTTAGTAATTCACAGTAATTTATATAAATGTTCAAATATTATTCATTTATCACTAAAGATTACAAAAATTGAAAGGCACGAAAATGACATGAAAGAGACTCATGTGCAAATAATTGTTTTTGTTACATTAACATTTATATATAATCATATACAATTGTACATCTATATGATATTATATCATACGTACTCTTTAGATGTCTTTTTTTTTGTCAGTTGGCTTCCTCCTCTGTTTGCCTTTCACCTATATTGTCTCTCCCCACAACCGTGTCAATGCCCTACTATGAATTTGTAATATATGATACACCTGTCATCTCCTAGTTCTTAAGATTTTACTCACTTTTTCCACAAAAGCTAAAATCCATGAGGAGTTATTCCTTATTCATTGTCCAAGATAAGGATTCTGTTTTATTTTCTTCCAGATAGAACTTGTATCACCTCAATTAATAACCTATTTCCCATTTCCCCTTCTGCATTGAATAGAATGGCCACCTTGACAAACACTCAATGTTTATATAAATGGGGATCTATTTCTAAATTATCTTATGTTTCACTGACCTGCTTTCTATTTCTTCTCCAATAACACATCTAGTTTATTGTAATGGTTTGTTAGTGTTTTATTGCTGCTGTAATAATTTACCACAAACTTGGCAATTAAACAGCACAAATGTATTATTTCACAGTTTTATAGCACAAAAGTCTGACATGGGTCTCATTGGGGTAAAATCAAGGTCTTGGCAAAGTTGTCTCCATTTCTGGAGGTTCTAGGGGAAAATCAGTTTACTCACCTTTTCCGCCTTTTAGAAGCTGCCCACCTTCCTCGGCTCATGACCCAATTCCTCTGTCTTCCAAGTCAGCAACAGAAAGTCGTCATTCACACACTGATGTCTCTTTTATTTTCTGCAGCAGGAAAGAATGCTTTTAAGAACTTGAATAATTAGATTGGACGTACCTGGGTAATCCAGACTAATTTCTCCATCTAGAGGTCCTTAACATTAATCACACCTCCAAAGCCCCTTTAGCCATGTAGTGCAACATATTCACAGGCTCTGTGGATTAGTGTGTAGATAATCTTTGGAGGCCATTATTCTGCTCATCACCAATGGCTTTGGGTTATGTTCTGATATCTGGTACCATCACTATTCTTTTCCATGCTTTTATCCAGAAGTTATTTTTTCATTTATGCTTTAAGAATATTTTATACAAATCTATAAATAATTATAGTATGTTACATTAAATTTGTATTTAATACACATATTTTAGAGAGACGTATACCTTCTGACATCAGGTTTTTGTATTTCTTTTTTCAGATAGATTTCATATTTAATTTCTTTTAATAATATTTCATAGCTTTCTTTTTACTGGTTCTCTCTGCCTTCTTCCTTACCTTATTCCTAGGTATTTTCTAGTTTTTCTTCCTATTACGGTGATTGAAATTGTGCTGCTATCATGAATAAGATATCTTCTCTCATTTTTATATGTAGGTGCTTTTTGCAAGAATAAGTGAAAGCTGCTGAATACACATGCATACACACATACACACACATACATATATGTGTATATATGAATACATACACACATATTCATATATGTTATTAAAAATTAGAGCTTCTGAGCTAAACAAGACATATAATTATTTCATTAGCAAAATGTGATAGCTTTATATATTCTTTTTGAGACAACACCAAATAATTGCAGGAACAAGCACCCCATGTTGTTTTGGATTTTAATTGAAATTATCTAAGTGTTTTAACATTTAGCACATTTGCTATTTGCTATTATGTTTCATAGATAGATAATTGTATTAGTACAGGTATCTAAGTGTTTTAACATTGAGCATTTTTGCTGTTATATTTGATAAATAGGTAATTGTATTAAGTTTTTTCATTCCTATTGTACATGGAATTTTAATTAGACATACCTGCTAAAATGTATCAAATGAATATTCAGTGTCAATTGATTTGTAATAAGGATTTTCTCCTTTAATGTGTTGATACAATGAAGTATGTTGATAGATTTTTTTTCTAACATTAAAACACCTTTACATTCCTGTAGTAAACCCTAATTGTCATAATATATAATTCTTTCCATGCATTATTGGAGTCTATTTTCTAATAGATAATTTAAAAATTTTCATTAATAGTCAATGATGAAATAAGTCTCGCAGATTTCTTTTGTAACTATCTAACATATTTTGGAATTATTGTTATGCTGGCCTTATAAAAATCTGTGAACATTTCTATCTTTTTACATGGTCTGAAATATTTTGAGTAAGTTTGGAAGTATCTGCTCTTTAGAAATTAGATTAAACTCATCTATGAGTCCACTGGGCTCCCTTACTTATTCTAATAGCGTATGTTTAATTGCTTTTGAAAAGTCATGGTTTTCACTTTGTGAAGTGTCAATTTTGTCAATTTAGATCTTGCCAGACAATTTTTCTTTCTTTTAGATTTCAGATTTGTTGCCACAGAATTGTTAGCAGAAATTCCATATAATTTTATCCATCTTTCACTTATTTGTGTTTAGGATATTTTCCCCAATTCTTTAAAACATCTCCCTAAAGCAGCTTTTGTCTGCTCATGCCAAAAAAAAATTCTGCTAATTCAGATTTTAAACTCGTGATCAAATGTCTATTTAGAAAAAGTTGACGAAGATTTGCATCACATTTACTTATAAACATATATGCATATTTCCCAAGCTTTTCAGAGAACACAAAATACCATGCATATGCATATTTGGCTTTGATAACAATAATCAGAGGAGCATCTTGGTACTTGTGGGAACAATGAAAAACAGGGAAAACAACATGTATATGTAATTGTAATGCTATGGTCTGAACGTTTGTGCCCCACCCCCCGGTTCGTATGTTGAAATCTAATCACAAATGTGCTAGTATTAGGAGGTAGGGCCTTTTAAAGGTGATTAGATCATGAGTGCACAGCCTTCATTAATGGGATTGGTGCCCTTATGAAAAGAGGCCCCAGAGAGCTGCCTTGCCTCTTCCTCCATGTGAGTGCACATTGAGCAGTTGCCATCTACAAACCAGAAAGCAGACCGTTACCAAGCACAGAACCTGCTAGTGCCTTGATATTGGACTTCTCATTCTCCAAATTTGTGAGAAATAAATTTTTGTTCTTTATAAACTACCCACTTTATGGTATTTTGTTACAGCAGCTCCATTGGTCTAAGACATGTAATCTTAAGTTTCCATTAAAATGTGGAGTAATTTTTTATTGTTACTGTAAATCCTCAAGGTCCTTATTGTTTTTAGATTGAAAGTGTGGAAGAATGAGACTATGCAAATAAAACACTCTATAGCAATACATATTCATTTCAGAATGAAATCCATAATGTTTGATTTCAACTGACAGCTCTCTTGTGTGTATATGTATGTATGCGTGTGTGGTAGGGGAGGGTTGAATTGGATGGCATTTGGCTGTCATTGAAATTGTGTCCACCTGTGAGAAGTACTCTTATTTCTTGATTGAAAAAGTTGACTAGCATAATGTTCTTACCAAAGTTACAAGAAAAAGCAATGTTTTTCATAGTGTAGCATCGTTAGTGCATACAGACACACACATGTGTACATAAATACATATATAGAGGGAAATCTTTTCATAATCCAAGCTGATAAAATCCATAGTTTGCTTGGGACGTGTATTGGTTACCGTTTTTTTTACTGCTGCAGGTCCTCTTGGCCTCATCTATCTCTTATATGGATAGATAACGATACATAAGACACCATTGCAGTGACCAGTTCTGTGTGGGCTCCAACAGGTTCATGCAGGTTTGACCTAGTCTTAGATTTGTGCCTCTCAGTCTCTGCACTTGTGAAACTTGCAACTTCAGAGGCATTAACACTTTTGGGGATGAATAACTGACCAATGAGGAAAAGAGACTGATGAATCAATGTTCCCCTTTTTCCCCTTAGATGGATGATACATTCATCTGAGGGCTGTAGTCCTCCTTTATAGGACTTTTCCAGGCTATTTCATGATGGCTTTTAGTACTCTGATCTGCCTTTTGCACCTGACAAACCATTCTGGATAAAAGTTTCTGATTTTATTAGGGCATTGTTGCCTAAGTATGATTGGGTATGCGTTTCTCAGCCTGTTTTAATAAAAATTACTTTGAGAGATGTCTTCTATTCAAATATCATGGGACTTCAACTCTCAAGGAGCATTCTTCCATTAATACCTCAGGGAATAGTCTCCCAATGTCTACCTCTTGAAAATTCACCAAAATGTCACTTAAGACAAAATGTACAGAATACTAACTTAAAGGTTTAATGTAAACTTTTATATAACTTTATAAAAGTTATATGGGAAAGGGGTTTGACATTTCTGAATCTTTCTAAATCAAAGTCCAAAGAGTGTATTGATTCTAAATTAAGCTTCCAAGATATTTACTCTAACAAAGATATGTAAAACATTACCCAGTACCTGCTCTTAAGTGTTAGGTTTTTCTTTTTTCCTCATTTAATACTCCTCATATCATATGAAAGATGCCCAGAGTCTCTCGTTATATTTGCCTCTTTGTAGGCAATTTCCTCAGGTTTCCTGAATCATTTCTAACCATTAAGTGAAATCTATAGGTGAGTCTTCCCTTAAGACATAATCAGGCCATTTAATGCATTACACATTGCTGCTTTAAGATGTTTCCTCTGAGCCAACAGCATGACTATGCCTTGTGGAGCACGTACGTGACAGTGCCTCAGCACTTAATATTCCTGAAATGCTGAGCAAATGTGTGTTTAATATGGATTTCATTTTTTTGAGTCTGAAAAATTAAAAATCCACCATTATTTTGTAAATTCTAACATTTGTAAATAGTTTAGACCACAAAGTGAATTTGTAAAACTATTTATCATCACCATTTGTAAACTGTTGCTGTGAATTCACAAGGGAACATTTTATAGGCATTAATAGTGTTTCAGAGATTTGGTTAGACATGCCCTCAAGGAGCTCATAGTCTCATGAAGGAGTTTACAGTCTATAAAACTGCCTTATTCAATTGCCTGGAAATACAAGGTACTTTGATTTCTAATCCCTCCATTTAATCTAGGCCTAAAAGAAACATTGAAAAGAAGAAGTGCAATATTTTGGAATATTTGGAAATTTAGAAATTTTAGCCTATGAAACATAAGCCATTTAAAGTTGTCAGTTGGATGAAATATCTACTAATTCCAAGCATATTTTGAAAAATTTTTACTTCTTCAAGAATTCTATATTACTTATTTTGGGGGAATGAGATTTAACATACATCAGCTTGCAAATAGAAGTGAATTCTTTGCATTGACATGGTTTATACACATGCATCTGTTTGTCCATTTATTTAGGATACATTTAATAAGTTTCTGCTGTAGACCAGCTGTTATGCCAAATGCCAATAATACAGTAGTGAAAAAAGCAATGGTAGTCTCTACTTTCAGGCAGCTTACATTCCATTCTATGACAGTAAATAAGCAAACAAATATGCAAAGCAATTATAAATTATGCAAGGCAAATACAAGGGTGATGTGTTAGGCAATACATGTGGTTGTCTTTTAGATAGGGTGGTCAAGAAAAGTTCTCTAGGGAGGTGATATTTAAGCTGAAAGAGATAAGTACATCAGAAAGAGATGAGCAAACATCTGAGGAAAACACCCTAGGGGAGGCAGAGAGACACTAAATGACTTATAAGACCTTTCCAGGCTGCATTACAGGGGGAAGGATCAGTGTTAAGAAATAAAGGAGATGGAAAATAGAGGCCAAGTGTCACAGGGCCTGTAGGCCATGATGAAGTTTCCATTTTATTCTAAATTCAATGGAAAATCAATGAAGAATTTCAAATAGAATTTAGGTTAATATTAAAATATGACCACTTAACATTGTTTTCTAAACAGACATTAAAATACACAGAGTTTCAGCTCATTGTAGATATATATATATATATATATATATATATACATAGATATATATATTTTTTTGAAACTATGTGTGGAGCAAATATGGATAGTGATAAGGTTGATGTGATTAATACTGGACCAACAGCAGAAAAATCAATGGGCAATGAAACCAGTTGGAATCATGTGACTCTAGGTCTGAGGAAATGAACCCAGTCTGAAGGAAAGGAAAGTCTCAAAGAAGTCTGAAGAGAGTGCTGTGTTACTAAAATCATCACTGAAGAAAGGAGTAACAAATCAAATTGAATTTAGTTTGGAAGAGATAAGTATTATATATTCTTTGTTTGAGATGAAGAAAATTAATTCTTGGGGGAAAAATCAATTCTTGGGAAAACAGGTAGAACCAATGAGAAGGATTCTGTTTTTTAAAGAATAGTTACAGAAAGAATGAACTTGAAGTAGGGTGACTCTAAGAAAAGAAGCCCAGTGCACATTCAAGGGAGACTGATGACTATGTGGCACCAATCCCCATATAATGTGCAGTCGGAGAATCCTTACATTGCATTGTAATAGCTCTTTCAGTGAAATTGTGTATAATAATTGAAAATATAATGTAGAGCCGTGATCCCCAATGGCTCCAGCGACCGGTTTTGTGGAAGACGATTTTTCAATGGACGAGGCTGGGGCCGTGGTGGGGAATAGTTTTGGGATGATTCAAGCACATTACATTTATTGTGCACTTTATTTCTGTTATTATTACATTGTAATATATAATGAAATAATTATACAACTTGCCATAATGTAGAATCAGTGGGAGCACTGAGCTTGTTTTTCTGCAACTAGACGGTCCCATCTGGGAGTGATGGGAGACAGTAACAGTTTATCAGGCATTAGATTCTCATAAGGAGCAACAACCTAGATCCCTTGCATGCACAGTTCACAAAAGGGTTCCCTCTTCTATGAGAATCTCATGCCTCATGTGATCTGACAAAAGGCAGAGCTCAGGCAATAATGCCAGTGATGGGCAGCAGCTGTAAACACAGATGAAGCTTTGCTTGCTCACCCATCACTCCCCGCCTGCTGTAAGGCCCAGGTCCGTTGGGGACCCCTAATATACAGAATGTGTACAGTAAAAGAAAGGGTTCATACTCCTTTCCCAGTTGTATTTTAGTGCCATGGTTATACCAAATCATGAATACAATGGTGTAAAAAAAAAAAAAGAATAGAATAGTCGTTTGCTCATGCACATCAGGAAGTCCATCAAAATCATTAAGTGTCTCTTCTAAGTAGGGACCAAACAAGCGCAGGCAAGAAGGCCAGTCACTGGGAGCCAGGCGCGGTGGCTCACGCTTGTAATCCCAGCACTTTGGGGAGGCCGAGGCGGGCGGATCACAAGAAGATCGACACCATCCTGGCTCACACGGTGAAACCCCGTCTCTACTAATACAAAAAATTAGCAGGGCGTGGTGGCAGGCCCCTGTAGTCCCAGCTACTTGGGAGGCTGAGGCAGGAGAATGGTGTGAACCCGGGAGGAGGAGCTTGCAGTGAGCCGTGGTAGCGCCACTGCACTCCAGCCTGGGCGACAGAGCGAGACTCTGTCTAAAAAAAAAAAAAAAGAAGGCCAATCACTGGGAAAAAACCTCAAGGGCAGCAGGCATAGGAATGGAGACACAAAATAAAATGTTGAGCAAAAGAAAATCAAGAAGGAATTAGTTTCAATATAATAAAATTGAAATTCAATGCAAACGCGCACACACACACACACACAAATCCCAAATGTAGGAAGATCTATGCAAGTGATTACGCAAAGGAAACGAAAGGGGTTAAGGGTTGAGGTTTCTTACAAGTAAAATTGCCCAAAGGCATTATCTCATGTCAGGCTGGGGCTCATTACTAGAAAATGATTAGAATCAATGCTACAAAGTCAAGAGGTACCCAAATGAAGAATTTGGCTTATGAAAAACAATAACAGAATTAATGAACGGGCTTTAACCTTTCAGTTCAATACGTATTTAATCTGTTTGTCTGGGCAAAACTTAAATATAAGGAAAGAATTTATTGTTAAAGCCATGTAAAGTGCAATGATTATTATGCTAATAAGACTAGATAAGTAAAATCTCTTGCTTTGTAAATGTCATAGATTAAAAATGGGTTGTGCTAATAATTAGAGCAATGATGATTTTACGATTTTAACACAGATCATTTTACTCCAGCTTTAATTGTCTTTTTTAAATTTAACTATTTTATTTTAATTATGGGGAGTCATATATAATTATTTTGAACTTTACAAAATTATTCACATGCACAACAGTTTAAAGCCTTATGCTAGATATTTAAATGACATGAATCTTTTTCCAGTGCCAGTTGAAGATTTTTTTCTAAAGGAATAGATAACTTAAAATTATATAAGGGGTCTTTTGTAAGAGGACAATTTGCTTTAATAGTTGCTGCTTTTGGTTTTCTATCTTGAAATGAAGGCTGTTCATGCTTAAGTGACTCTTGTATTTTGAATCAATTATCTCTGGTATTTGAATTAGTGTACTGGTCACTTTTTAGTTGCTCTCAAGTCTGAAATATTCAGATCAGTTAGAAGAAATTAACTCATTTGTGACCTTTAACATGAATAATGTGTATTTCTGAGATTTCACAGATTATCTTTGGAAGTAATTAAATTTTGTAAGTGAACCGGTTGCAGAAAGTTGGTTTGTGCAGTGTTTGGGGGAGTTGAATATTTTATAATAGATTTTTCAAACTTCCTAATTTTACCACCAAAATACTTCACAAATCATTTCCCTTTCCTCATACTCCCTTCATCCAAACTCAGTTATCCTAATCTGGGCCTGATCATCTTTCATGCACCTAACTTTACTTTCAGTTTCTCCTGCCAATTTTTGCCAGACTGTTGCTTACTTGACCTTTAATATCCACACAGGTATAACTTCTTCAAGTATCTCTCCCTAAGCTACTTTCTTATTTCTATGTTCCCACTGATGAAATTCTATTTTGATCACATTATCTAATCTTCAGGGAAGGCAACCCTATCTCTGGGTAAGGATTTGGTTAAGCCTTGTCAATCAATGATCATTTTAAGAGAGAGATGTGACCAATACTTAATTCTGGCCAATGAGACATGAATAAGTCTGCTGGGGGCTTTCTGAGGAAGTTATTTTTTGGAGAGATAGAAAGGAGAAAAAATGAAAAGAACAATGCCTCTTTGAATGCCAAACATGTCGTGTCTAGATGTGGTTCCTGAATCTGCTGTAGGATAAAACCAACTGATAAAAGAAATTGTTATAAGAATTACAGAGAAGCTGAGCTGGAGTTTTAGTTTTCAGGGCCTAAAGGCTTTTCTACTGATAAGCTTACTGTCATTTGACATAATCAATCTCCTTCTTATTTAAAATATTTTGAGTTATTTAAATTACTCCCCAACTGCTATATGTAAAATTTAGTACAGCTCAGTGAGATGGGCAAAATGATTGGTAGCAGAAAATTGGGACATAGAATAATACATTGTTTTCTTTTTAAAAAGTCACTGTGCACACTCTTACCAAAGGATATCTGGAGATAAAGAAAGGAGATTATAAACTACCAGATTTGATAGAAATCTAGCCAGACTTGAGAGGAAAGCAACTATGGACGTTTGGGGCAATTGTAAAAATGATGACTCCCTCTTGTTATTTCCTGATTTTTCAAACTGTGAGTTAGAACAATGAATTTATTAATTTTCTGTTGCTGTTAATGAATTACCACAAAATTAGTGGCTTAAAACAATATACACTTATTCACAAAGTTTCTGTAGTACACAATTCTGGGCATGGCTTACCTGAGTTCTATATTCAGGCTCTCACAAAGCTATGAAAAGTTGTTGGTCAGGGCTGTGTGCTCATCTGAAGTCTTGACTTGGAAAAATCTATTTCCAAGCTCATTTCTGTTGTTGGCAGAATTCAGTTCCTTATAGTTATGTGACTGAGAAACCTGGTTTCTTTCTGGCTTTTGCTGAAGGCTGTTCTCAGGCCTGCACTCTCTTGCCACTTGGCCCTCTCCATGGGCAGTTCATATAGCAGTTTACCTCTTCAAGGCTAGCAGGAGGGTCACTCTTGTGTGCTAGCAAGGTAGAGTCTTATAAATATATCATAACCTAATCATCAGGCCTATTTCATATGCTATTAGTTAGAAGCAAGTAACAGGTCCTACATATATTCATGAAGAGATAATTATTCAGGGTGTAACAATAGGTCATCTTAGAATTCTGCCTACTATAATGAAGTAAATCAATATATTTAGTGAACACAACTTGTACTATTGGTTGGGAGCAAATGGATGTCATTCTATAGCATTCAGAACTAGGTAGGAGTAATGGGAAGAAAACTGTGTGTGCCTTCATTCTTTATGTACATTGTACTAGTATATTGATAAGAATATATAATAAAAAGTGTGCTTTCAAGCAAATGTTGGATATAAAATTGTTGGATATTTTCAGTGATGTGTACATTTTATAAACATGCATTTATATCTATAAAAATAGTATAAAACAACCTCAACTCTATCTCTAAAACTGATAAAAGGTTAACATTGCTGTTGTGTTGACCTGATTCTGTCTCATTTAACCTCCCCTACTGAAATAATTGTTTTTTACAACTTGATATTGAATGAGGAAGCTTCTTTAGATTGAGATTCTGATTTCATAGCATACAGAATGGTTGAAATTGTTAATATTTGAAGTGGTTGAGATTAATAAGCTAAAATGCAAAAGTAACTCTGTGGACCTATTGTTGTGGACTGAATGTTTGTGCTCCCCCCATTTGTAAGCTGAAACCCTATCCCTCAATATGATGGTATTTAGGGGTGGGGCCTTTGGAAGGTAGTTAGGATTAGATGAGATTAAGTCATGAGAGCAGAACCCTTATTAATGAAATTAGTGCCTTTATGAAAGTACATAGATAATTTGTGTCTCTCTGGTTTCTGCCATGTGAATATACAATGAGGAGTTGTCTGTGTATGAACCAGGAAGTGGCCCTAACCAGACACTGAATCTACCCATACTTTGATTTTGGACTTCTCAGCTTCCAGTACTCTGAGGATTAAATATTTGTTGCTTAAGCCACCAGCCAATGGTATTTTGTTATAGCAACCCAAACGGTGTATACGACACTTATCAAGACGTTGTCTACGTAACATTCAAGGAATGGATTTGTACTGAGGTTTTAAATGACAGAGAGAATGTACAGAAACAGTTTATACTTCTACTTTCTACTAAATAGATTTTCTAATGTTGAGCCCATTTTAATTAACAAAGCTTATTATCAAACTATTGTGGATCTCTCATTTAAAGAGAATTAGAGTGAACTCAGATATGAAGCCACTTTTGAATACAACCTGTTCTCAAGTGTGAACCAGGTTTGAATATCTTTGTATTTACACACAACCAGATAAGATTTATTAAGCCTGAGCTCCGATTTTGTGTTGGAAACTCTGGTTCCTAATAAGAAAAATGTGTACATTATCTCCTTTAATCCTCAAACTAACCTGACAGGGTATGTTCTATTACTATCTCCAATAAATGAAGATACAGAAAAGAATAGAGGTTATATAACCTACCCAAGGACACATAGATATTGATTGTCAGATTCTAGACTCACCTGGGCAACCTGGGACTAAAGTTTATATGCTGAACTACTGTAATATTGTGCTTCCAAAGAACAGAGATAATCTTACCCTGGACTGGTTATAGTCACTAAGAAAGGCACAATTTAATACAACGATGAAAGCATCTGTTCATGTAGGTGGTAGATAAAACTCTTTAATACACTGGAATATTTGATGTATGGATAATTAAGAATGTATTGTTTATAACCTTAAAATATTTCAACACTCTCAGAAAAATAGTTTTTCAGACTGATTCTATATTAATGCATGCATTGGGATACTTAAGCTTATGCTAGTGGAAAGAGATATAAATGCAAGCAGAATGAAGAATAATGAAAATGATATTTATTGTTAAAGGGACTGATTTAGTCTATATTTTGAAGGTTTCCCATTGGAGTTAGAATTGGACTTGGACATTGACTGGTGCTATGGAAAGATACTTTGAAATGAATAAAATAGAAGATTCTGCAAATTAAGTTTTTGCTGTGTTTTTAAATGTACTCTTAAAATTAATCACTTAAAGATTAAGAGGGCTTAATATTTCCAGAAATAAATATTTTCAAAACTAAAGGTGGATAGAAAAACCCTCTAATGAAAGTGTTTGCTATGGTTTAAAGAAAACATTCTTTTGAGTGTGTTTTTCACTTTTCATTGGATTGCCTTGTCATAATGTAGACACAGTTTAAAAGTGAAAATGAAAATGCGTTTAGTGACCTCTGAAGGATGCTGGGAAAATGCACTACCATTTTGTAAATAGCTTTCAATATGAAATGTGATAGGTATTTTGGAATTTTCCAAAAAGCAATCTTGAAACTTCAAGTGAGGTTAAAAAAAAATGTCTATAGTATTTCAGGGTGTCCCCCAAACTATAGGAAACTGACAGTTTCTAGAGAGTTTTGCTGTCTAGAACCAAAAAAAAAAAAAGGCAATGCAAATAAGGAAATTTTTCCACTAGTAGAAGTAGAGACACTTAAGGACAGAAGGGTTAGGAATGCATAAGGTTATTCAATGACATTTACTGAATCTTAACACTAAACTTTCAGAATTTTCTGTTTATTTTCAGATTCTTCTTAACCAACTTTAGTTTTTAATCAATAAATCTAAATTGTAAAAGTTAAGTTCTTTGATTTCTGAAACACAACTAAATAGCCTTTAAAATTTTAAATGCAAAAGGAATTAATTTTGATAGGCTAAACAGTGCAAGTCAGTTTAGCCTATTGTACTAAAGTTTAGTATATTCTACTAAAAATTGATCCAAATTGATGACTCTAATGGGAAGAGCTGGAAAAATGAGTTCATATCCAATGAAATTTATTCCTCAACAGCCCTTTACTATTAACAAATAATGGTGTTGCTTGTTTGTTTTTGAGGGGGGTGAAATGAACATTGATAAATTTACTTTTCTAAACTGTCTAAGTACCACAAGTGCTGCTTCTTCATGAGGCTGCTGTATAATGGTGGCAGGAGTTTATCACTATTTCAACTTATGCATAAGTATAATCTTTCCTGTTTTAATATGAGAAAAAGAAAGTCTTTTAAGGACAAGCTCAGTAATTTTTCCTTTGGTGTTAAAAATGTAGCAATTATTGGAACAAACAAAGGGATGAACAATATCAGTTGATTAAATGAGTTTCCTTTTTAAGTTATGAAATCTGTTTCTATCAAGGGACATCTGAAAGAAATAAACAGTTTTTGAATAAAAGCAAAGCAAATTCTCTCTCCTTACAAAATTAGGTCAGTGGCGACTGAATCTTTTATTTGAGAGATCATATAGATTTTATACACCAGAGTACATTGACCATTATGGGAAATTAGTTTTGAACTAATGGAAATGTTAATCTATTTTTGTATTGATAAGTTCAAACTATATTCAAAACATTCTAATTGGTAATTAGACAAAGTTATTCTTAGCATATTAATATTTATGTAGTATCATCAAGAAAAGATGCATTTGCTAAACATCCAGTTTTACATTTCTAAATTTTTCTCTTTAATACCTGTTGTTAGATTCAAAAAATTTTAATATGACTAAGTGCCTGTATGTGTGTGCACATGTATGTGTGTGTTTAAAAAGAAATATGGAAATAAAGATTTGCCTAAAGTTTGTTTCATAAAAGCATCATTTCTTCTTTTCTACTTCTCTCTGTGATATGTTAATACTTCTGTATTATTTTTAGGAATCAATATTTTCCAGATTAACTTCCTGGTTTATAATTTCTTGACTTCATTAATTTCCAAAACTTTCCTCTGCTTTACCAATGTGGTCCAGGCACTCACAAGCTTGGTTATTCCTCAGGTCTGTCAAAATTTAATGTGGTTTTATGGACATGGCCTCAAATTTTCAAATCCCTCTTTGACCACAGCCTTTTAACTGCCTGCTCAGTTAGCCTCTTATTTCTATTGAACGTATGTTTTGCCCTATGTTCAACTCTTGTCTTTTTTTGATTATCCTAATACAGAGTCTCCCACTGGCTTCATTTATCTCCTAAACTACATCCCAATCATTTTACTTCTGCACTCACCAATACCTTAAAATTCCACAAATTGTCTTCTTTTGGTTATAAGGTCCATCGTTTGCTATTACCTTAGTCAGGTTAGTTAATTTCCCAGTCTTGCTTGGTGGGAATTATAAAAGACCTCTCTTTTAGGCTTAGTGTGAAGAGTAAACGAAACCACACACATTAACAGTGTAGAACAGTCCCTGGCACATTCTGTTCACTACATGTGGATATTATTTTATCCATGACAACCTGAAAAGTCACAAACTTGGATAAATTCTGTTACTCATTTTGTTTTTGGTTGTGAATCACTAAGTATTGTTGAAATGTGATCTTGTATTTTAGCTATACCATAAGTTCTTGTTAAAATATTACATATTATAATATTATTTTTTTAGGATACTATAAATCATAATATTTGTCATCTAAAATTGGAGTACACTTAAGGCGAAAAAGAGGTGCAATTGATATTTACACTGGGTCTGTCTTGGGCATGCTGTCATCCTATTATTATTTAAGTAAAACTAGGTTAAAAATGTGCTCCAAAATATTTTCTTATGTAACTATTTGTTAGCCATACTTTTTCCTTTTGAATTAAAGAGGATGTGGGAAATAAGGCTGTTTAGGATGGGTGAGCAAGTATTTGCAGCAGAACTCAAAAGAGAATTCACAATGATTATGTAAGTAGTGAAACTGTCAAGGACAATTTGTTAGTGATAACACTTATGCTGTCCTGCTGAAAGTTCTTATTTAACATGATCTTCATAGAGCTTCAGTCCATGAGACATGTTATTTATCTACCCACATTACCTCCATGATGTTTAGGTGATAAATGCCATTACTGGTTTCAGAGTGTGGCTTCACTCACTCCCCAGTCACGATACTGACACTCATTTTGCCTGCCCTCTCGGTTACATCTTAACATCCCTCTGACTTTCATCTTTAATCCTCCCACTTCTAAGACCATTTTTTCTTGACTCGTTTGTTTCTTTTATCTTAAAAAAGATATTCAAATTGGCATTACATAGTTTTTCTACCATCTAGTGCCATACTTTGGAAGAGTAGTTCACTGTCTTTAGTACTTCATCTTGCTCTCACTCCTCATATTTACAAACTGACTTCGGATATCACTATATTAGTCTAGTTCAAATTCCTCAGTTCCATCCTACTCAGCATTTACTGAACACTTTTCATGGTTGGCGATGTTGATTATTTGCTGCCTATGTAAGAGTCTCCTCACCTCATCCATGGCTTACGTGAATTTGAATCTGCTTTTCTACGCTTAGGTTTCTCTCCTTTTTTTCTGATTGTTAATGTTTTTCATTCTTTGATATTCAGAGCTTGTCATTCTCTTCCATATGGTTTATTTTAGTGAATGCAACTACTTCAGTTATAACTATTATCTGCATTCAAATGAATCCAGTGCTGTGTATCTTGTCCCAGTCTCTCCACTGAGCCTCAAACTACTGAAAACCACTATGTGGATATTCTGGTACCTGCTGTTTGGCCCATTCAAGATGTCTCTTCTAAACTCCATCCTCTATCTGGGTTTTGTATTCACATTAATGACATCAGTATTTACTTAGTCATTTAGACTCTCAGCTTCAGTCATTGTTAATTCTTTGTTACTCCTTATATTTCATATTGTTTTGATTACCAAATTATCCATTTGTTAACTTACTATCTATGCCACAAATATTTAAATGTTTTCTTTTTGATGGGTGCTCTTCTGGGTTCTGGCAGTGTAATAACACATAACAAAAAGTTCCTAGACTCATGCAGCATTCATTCTAGCAGGAAAAAGACAGACAACGAACTAATAAATTTTATTTATATATATATATGAAGCTAATTTTGGATAATTAAAGTCACTGTGAAGAAATTAAGATGGGTAAATATATTTGAGAGTTACTGCCATGATAATTTTGTTAATCAGAAAACATTTCATTAAGTAGATGACTTCATAGCGAAGATCCAAAGGGTTCCAAAAAGGCAGGCTTATGAAGATCAGAGGCAAGAGTATTCTAGGGAGAGAATACAAAGTGAAAAGCCCCTAAGGTGGAACCAGATTTTTTGTCTTGTTGGGGCAAAAGGAGAGTAAGTGTGACAAAAGCCTAGCAAGCTGGGGGTATGTTAGTAAAAGAAGTTGAGTTGTAGACTTGGCTGAATTCATGTAAAATCTTTTATTCCTTGTTTAGAAGAGTTCTAGGTAAAGAGGTAGCATGATCTCCTTCATGTTTCTAAAAGATAACTCTGGCTTCTGATGTAAAGAATGGACTACAAGCTAACAAAGCAGCTAAGAGGCTTTTGAAGCAGCCTAGTTGATAGTTGATGGTGGCTAGGCTTAGAGTGGTCACATTGGAGATGAATTTTGGATATGTTTTGGAGCTGGAGTTGACATGCTTTAATGATAGGCAGGTGATGAAGAATGACTTGTGTCATGGGGTCAGCATTGGTGAGTTTTACTGAAATGAGGAAAACTAGGAAAGCAAAGGATATGGGTATTAATTAAGAGTTCACTTTATAGATAGTTATTAGAAATGAAAATGGTAATGCTAAGTAAGTAGTTGACTCTTTGAATCAGGGGGCTCAGCTGAATGTTCTAGGCATAGGGAAGAGGGAAGTGTCATATCATGAAAACCAAGAGGATAGTGTTTCATGTGAGTCCAATGCTGTTAATAAATCTAGTGAAGTGGATTGGAGCAGATCTCTGATCATTGTATTGGGGTGCATAGACATGATGTACTTTCCTGTTTCAGAAGGCTGATGGCCATAGATGCTTAATTAGAACGGGTAAAGAAAAGCTATAGGTGTAAAATGGAGACTGAAAATTTTTATACCAAAAAAATGGCTCTGCATTAAATTTCTGCTTATCGTTTCCTGTTTCCTTTGCATTACCTCTTTCTGCATAACCATTTCCTCTGCCCTAATTCATGCCCTATTATTTATCATCTGAGCCTTTTAAATAAGCTGTGGACTACTTTTTGCTTATGAAAATTATGTCTCTCCTCTGCAGAATGGCTCTCCATTGTCTGGAATCATTTTCTTAAAAGTGTAGTTTCTGGCAGACTATCAATTATCCAACAGGGATTTGACTATTTTCTATGAATATGAAAAGATGAAACCTTTGGTTCACATATATTTCATACATTTAAAATTTGAGATTAACGATTTTCACAGAAATTCTATTACATCCATAATTATTATTAAGTTTTTAATAATGGACTACAAGTACTGTGTGGGACAGTTGGTCTAGGCTAGCATTCATTTAACAGGGACTAATTTGTCTTGACTAAGATATTTTCATATAAATTGAATTTTATTAATTAAATTTTCTAAATTTGCATTTTTATTGTAACTGGGATATTGCTTTATTGTATCCCCAATTCACAGAAAAGGATCAATAGCTTAAAAGTCACTCACTGAAGCATGAAGATAGTGATAAAATATGATCATAACTACTATAAAACATAAAGCAATAAATATAAGCAGTGATTAGGTCTGTGGTAGAATGTAGAATGTGAATTTGTTTGTTCTTAGAACAAAATCTCTAAGCATGTAATGATTTCATAAAGGCAGCAGCAAAAGAAAATTGCAAATGGAAATTTCGAAGAAGGGTGTTTTAGATTTATTAAACTGGTAATCATTTATGCTGAGTTGCAACGCCTAAACTGTTATGAACATTTGGCAAATAGTTACAAGGAGGCTTCACAGTTTATGTGCCAATTTAAAACAAACAAAGTGTAATGACCTCTGTGGTAACTGAGTTTTACCTGAACATGATAAAAATTATCATTTTCTGTATGAAATTAGTTAATTTTGTTCAAATAGGTGAGAAGAAAGCAAAACTTAGCCGTCAAAGTTATACCATTTCAAATTTTCATTTTATAATAAAAGTCATACTTTTTTTTTTTTGAGACAGAGTCTCACTCTGCTGCCCAGGTTGGAGTGCAGTGGCGTGACCTCGGCTTACTGTAGCCTCCACCTCCTAGGTTCAAGCGATTCTCCTGCCTCAGCCTCCTGAGTAGCTGGGTCTACAGGTGCGCACCACCACGCCCAGCTAATTTTTGTATTTTTAGTAGAGATGGGTTTTATCATGTTGGCCACAATGATCTCAATCTCTTGACCTCGTTATCCACCTACCTCGGCCTCCCAAAGTGCTGGGATTACAGATGTGAGCCACTGCTGCTGGTCAGTCACACAATTTTTTAAAAGCTTCACAGCCAGTGAATCATCATAAGGGAAAACAGAACAAAATACAATACAGTTGTAAACTGACATGGTATGTCTTTGCATATCAGAAGTACACACTCTAGAGGCGCTGTCACCATCCAATATGCCGTCATTTATGTAGCTTATCTGTGGAGGAAACACTGATATGTAAAGTGTAAACCAACTTGCCTTATGTATGGTATGTGTACAAGACAGAAATTCTTATCATATTTTTTTAATTACTGAAACACCATGATATATGTGAAGAGTTTTCTATTTAATTAAGGGCTATTTTATGAACTGAATGGATGTGGCTATAATGCAATGCCAGTATGTGCACTTTTTAATTCTCCACATATTTATGACTCAAAAATATGCTGGCTGATTTTAATTCACTGTTGAATGAAACAGAGAAAATTGTAAAGGAGACCAAATTATGGTCATGTTTTCTGCATTCTTTTAGTGTGCTCTCAAAAAATGCATATTGAGTCATGAATTTGCTTTTCTATCCTGCAGTACTGAGAACGTAAAAGGTGTAATGATTTTGAAATGCAATTAGGAAACAAACAAAAATCACTTATTCATGACAATGAAAATGATTATAAAGACCATTTTTGAAATTTCATATATCTTACACATTTATCTCAATGATAAATTTAGTAAATTTGCTCTTTCTGGGGTAGCCAGAATCTATCACTTGATGGACCAACATATGTCAAATTTAAACATTCAGGATAAATATAAAGGTTTCTTAAAGTATGATGCAAATGGTTAGCTTACTCAGAGTTTAGTTCCCTCACAACATGTATTTTCTTCACTTGTTGATGAAAGAAACCAACATGTTTTAAAATGTATGTTAAATCACATATACCTAACTAAATGCAACTTAAGAATTATTTGGGGGTTTATTTGACACTCTCAAAATTAAATCATTCAACCCTGAAGATTTGATTGTGATATTTTTCAACTGAGAATCTGATGTAACATGAAAATAGTCCTTGTTCAGAAATAGTCCATAAATTCTATCCAAATATCAGGTAACTGTTTGACAAAACCACCAAAAACTAGCTGCTATTTCCAGTAAATGCCATTTATTTAACAGAATGAAAGACTATGGAGATATTCATTTTCAGAAATTTAGATAATTATGCCGGGTGCAGTGGCTGATGCCTGTAATCCCAGCATTGTGGGAGGCCGAGGCGGGCGGATCACGAGGTCAGGAGATCGAGACCATCCTGGCTAACACAGTGAAACCCCGTCTCTACTAAAAATACAAAAAAAAAAAAAAAATTAGTTGGGCGTGGTGGTGGGGGCCTGTAGTCCCAGCTACTCGGGAGGCTGAGACAGGAGAATGGTGTGAACCTGGGAGGCGGAGCTTGCAGTGAATGGAGATCGCGCCAAGGTCACGCCACTGCACTCCAGCCTGGGCGACAAAGCAAGACGCCGCCTCAAAAAAAAAAAAAAAAAAAAAACCATAATTATTAGGTTGAACTATATGAAGTCAATGATGTTGAACTGTTTTGGACTGTTAAAGAAAATAGAAATTTCCTATGGTTCCACTTCATAGAAGATACAAAATCCTTTCCACTTGAAAACATCTAGAAACATTGGCTAACATACAATGAATACTTTTAAATACATATTTTAATTAACAAGAGTAAGGAAAATGCCAAGAAGCCACAAAGAGAAAGCTGTGATATGCATGAAAAGTGGGCACTAAAGCATGGGGGTGTTTTTGTTGATGTAGGTCAACAAGATGCTTGGTTTTCCACATTCCCACAAAGACAGAGCATTAGGGTTTGTCTAGCTAGAGAGTTAGGTGACACTGCATAAAGCTAGAATGCTTGAACATTCTTACCTATTCCTTGGCTCTCAGGAAAACAACAAAAACTTGTATGTGTCTGTAACCAAATAAAATGTTGAGGTTTTCATTTATACTGCCAGACAGGTCAAGAACATATAAGGCCAAAAAATTAATTATCTGTTATTATTAGTGCCCTATCACTGAAAGAAGCAAATGCAAATGCTTTCTAAAAACAAAGCACTCACAATCCAGGCTGCATGGGGTTCTTACAGGAAAACGCTCCTGTAGATTAATTCACAACTGCAAATGCAATATTATATGCATATATTAAATGTAAATTATAATAAATAATCAGCAGAGACAACAAACAGCACAATTAAACACAGAATTATCAGATAATGAAATTATAAATGTATAAATGTCTTAAAAATAAGAGACTGAAAACACAACTAAGAAACAAGAGCTGTGAAAAATCAGAACAAAAAATAAACTAACAAGAAGTTATAGCAGTGAAAAATGTAAGGATGGAAACATTAATAGAATGGTTAAATAGAAAATTGAGTATATCTATTGAAAGGAGCAAACTGGAAACAGGAGCTGAACAAATTATTCAGAATGAAGCACAGAGAATTAAAGTGTAAAATATAATGAAAGCAGTCTTAGGAGAAATGGAAGAATGGATGAGATAGACCAGTGTTTTTCTAATTGAAAATAAAGAGTGAATACAGAGAGTAGGAAAGATACAACATGGAAAACATAATTCCTGCAAATTTTCTGGAGTGAAGAAATTCTTGATTTCTTATGTTCATGAATCATGGCACATCCTAAACAGAATGAATAAAAAGAACTCTGCATCTAGACACACTTTAATCAAATACAGAACATTCAAGCAAAAGTATGTTTAAAAGCAATCACATAAAATATTACTTACAAAAAATGAAACTTAGCACATTTGCTAACACCAACAATAGAAACAGATGACAGTGAAGAAGAATTAAAACACTGAGAAAATATAACTAGCAACTTAAAATTTTATATCTAGTCATTTAGCCAAATTTTATATCCAGATAAACATTTATTAAGGAAATGGTAGTGAAATAAAGTATATTCTAGAAAAACAAACAGCATGAGTTGTGAGTGCAAACAAATCCTTAACAAAATATATACTAAATGTTATTATGCTACAGGAAGAATGAAATTGAGTGTCCAGAAAGCAGGGTTAAGATATAAATAGAAGTAGTGAAAAAAGAAACAAGAAATAATAGTGCCTTATGTAAACAAATATTGTTTGGATAGAATAATAATTATGAATTATTTGGCCCAGGTTCAGAAGAGCCTTAGATCCCACCTGTCCATGGCAGGAGTGTCAAAGATTTTGTGGCCGTCTTTAATTGGCCATGAATGAGATGGGGACTAGGATAACAATTAACATTAGTAAGTGCCCTGCTTTAGGATCCCAAAGAAGCAGGCCCTGGGACAAGGATTTGGAATTGGCTTGGAGTTAATTGAAGGGAGCAACAGTACAGAAGTAGCAAATTTAGATAGGAAAGTGAGAGGGACAATAAAGGGTGCATTGACAGTTAAGGTACCACTGTGATCAATTGGAATTCAATCCTTCTGAGGAGCTATGAGAAACAGTACATAGAATATGCAGCTCAGATTGTTTCCACCTTAGATGTAAGGAAGCTAGGAAATTTACATACCAACCTCTGTCAGTCAGTGCTTGTGAGTGCTGAGGTTCGAAACATTAATTCCCCAGAACTTCTGGCTGCCTGCCCTGAACACAGGCAGAACAGGCTCCACCGGCCAGAGAAAGCCCTCAGCAAAGAATTACAGGTGCTGGAAGTTGGAAGTGTTTTAAATAGGCACCAAAATGGTAAGGGTTGGTAGTTATGACTTAAGTCCTGAAAAGACTTACACTAAAAAGTACTCTTTTGGGTTTTATGTTTTAATCAGAGTCCTCTCCTTTTTTTTAGCTTCTGCCCTATACCTAATGGATTCTGCCTTGTCCTTAGAATCTGAGTTCTTTGTTCCCCTCCGCTAAGTGAGGATTCAGTTTTGGTTTTTTTTTGATTTCCTGAAACAAAAGTGATCAAACCATCTTTTACTTAAAGAAGAGAAGGCATACATTTTTCCAAAGGATATTTTACCATGTGTTTACCTAAAGGTAAGGCTGAGAAGAAGCCCCTCTCCTTCCTGCCGTTTTTTACAGTCAGCTTGTAACCGACACCCAGCTTCCAGCATGTGGTCAAAAAAGGCAACTTAGAGGTAGGGGTTCTAAGGGTAAGGTGGCATGCAAAGGTATCACTCACAGCTCTGGGAATTCCAAACAACTAATTTTAAGGAGTAGTATTATGTCAATTTACAAATTGGGAGAAAGCTATATATGATGATTCTTTACCATTCACTTATTGGTTAGGCTGAGCATGTGATAAAAAGAAAGGAAGTGTGGTTAAGTCAACTATGGAGTGGACTTGAGTCAACGAGGAAAACCTGGGGTTGGAATCTGGTTTGAAACCTTGTTTAGCATGGCAATCAAGGCTTGAGATAGAACAGAAAAGTGGCAATGTATGGTTCTTCCAAAAAAACACTGTTTAAGTTAATAGTGCATCTTGTTACTCACCTTCCCCTAAATTACCCCTTCATTGTCTCAGGCTACGATTCAACAAAATTTACTTCATTTTAAAAGTTCACTTCAACACTGTCCAGATAAGATGTGCCATCCTGTATGTCCAATACGGCAAATGTTAAATGTGTGTGTGTGTGTGTGCATGCGTGCAGGTATGTTGGTCACAAATTTGCAAGTTGCGAGTGACAGAAATGTACTCAAGCTACAGGACCAAAGGGGCATTTATCCTCATATAACTGGTTGGAGAAGGAGGGTTGTCCAAGGAGTAAACCTCACTTAGGCTGGGTTTAGGGATTCAAATAGTGTCATGAGGATATTCCTCTCACTTTCTTTGGTTATTTCTTATGCTTTCCACAGAGTTGGCTTCCTTCCCAGGCAATCTCTTCCCATGTTGTGGAAAAGACGTCAGGCCAGTAGCAGACAGTGCTAGGTTCAGGCTTCCAATATTCTTACACCAACTTTCCCAGTGAAAAGAAAAAAAAGAAGCCACTTTTTCAACCACTCAAATGAAATTCCAGGGAGGATTCTGTTGCCTTGGTATCCCTACACCTCTTATACCAACATGGCCAGAGAGATGGGGTTCTCTGATAGCTAGAGACTGGCTCATCTAACTACCCTGAGTTGAATTTCTCACAAGGAAGAACTGTTCAGTTAGCAGAAGGAAAGTGAAAGAAAGTGTAAAGGGAAGCCAGAAATTTTATCTTGCTTAGAAGTTAAAGAGTATGCACATGAAGGTAAATATTTGAAATAGGAATTTTGGGCTAATATGGAAGGACGTGTCTTCATTAGAGTTTAATATTAGCAAACAAATAACATACCCAATTGTTTCAGCAGAAAATCACTCTGTACACTGAGTTTGGAGGTCCTCATTCTTGTAGGTTTTGCATATAATCACACTCTGTTTATTTCCCCTGAAGTTAATGGAAACAGAAATGTACATCATCATTATGACACCTGCAGGTAGTTTCTATAATACACATTATTGATGAAATTTTCTAAAGCTGCTTTTATATCTTAAAGCTGCATACAAAGATGACTCTGACAACAATGGAAATAAAAATCGCTTTAAAGCAATCTCATGTGGTAACATCTATTGTTTTGCTATAATGGGATTCTGTTAATGTCAATATATTTCTGAAAATCTTCTCAGTTCCCATGATCAAAAGAAAATAGAAGAGAACTATAGTCCCCTAGTAGCTAATTAGCACATAAAAAATTGTATTTGAGAACAGAAGGAGAGAAAGGGATGTGCTATTTTCTTACCATTTCAGTTCCTTTGAGTTCTGCAGACTTGGGTATTAGACACATAACTAGATTAACATCAATTTGTACCACTCTGATTTTTAATGTTTCTGCAAAATTTATTAATAAAAATATTATTTTACATATGCATATTCTTAATATGGTACATTGTTTATATATGTGTATACACACACGTGCATGTGTGCACACACACACATATGTTTGTGATGCACATGTTGAATGCTATCACACATTCTCAGCCCAGGAGAGCTAGTGCAGCAGGACAACTGCATGCTTTAGGCCAGTGAGCATTTGTATACTGTGCTGCAAATGTTCTCAGCCAAATACTACTGTCTGGACACCAAGCAGAGAGAATTCTCTGATGCATTATTTTTTCACTGCCACTCTCTGTCATTTATTTTGTTCTTTGAAAAATGTCCCTGACCTCAATTGCCAATACATAAGGAAATAAAATAAAATGTAAATGTAAATTGATAGTGCAGTTCTGTCCAAAGATGCAAAAGAAAGGTTTGACTGAGGCTTAAGGTAACTTGAAAGAGATAATTTAGTCTACTCAGGATAAAAGGTAGTGATCAATTAGTGATTGATGGAAGTCATTTGGCATTATTAAGGAAATCATAAGCATCATTATAAATTGGTGAATAGAATAACAATTATTTGCAAGGTATAAGAAAGAAATGACAGAGGTATGTTGTGATTTCAGAGTATTTGGAGAGCATAAAAATGATATTTCTAAAACCTAGAAGATACCACCATGAGAAAACGAGTGATGCTGTAGCATTGAATCAGGTACTGCCGAGAAATTATCCTCCTTATCAGCCCCAAACAGTTTGTTCCTATTTAATTAGATGAAATTGCTCTTCAGAGTTTCGAGAATGAAAGAATATGGGAAATCAAGGAACGATTATTTCTATATGCCAGAATATAAAACTACAATTTGAAATATATTTTCTTGCTATAGCATAACATATTTAATGCTTTATATAATTACTAAGTGTATAAATAATTTTTGTGAACCACTTGATCTTTTCAAAACATTAAAGCAGAATTTCTTTTACAAAGATGCTGTTTGTAATGCATTGTTAAAAATGAGAATTTGCCTCATTTTTCTTTTTCTTTTTAAAGTAGATTTGCCTAATTATTCTTTTCTTTTTAAGGTAGACCCGTTAGAGAAGCTCTGCTGAAAGCAAAGTAAACCTATACATGACCTTTTTAATAATAGTATTAATTATAATCACACTCTGTCTTGATTTAATGCAGTGCCAGAAATTCTTTCCAGTGGCAGCAAAAGAGAAAACAAAACCAGAAACTCTTAGTTGGAGGAAACTCTTAGTTTCCTTTTCCTACTTCCAATTTGTATGAAAAGGAAGTATCACTGTATTATAATTTTATTATTTATACTTAATCAAACACAACTGAAAGTTCTAATTATTATTTATCTTAATGATTCATGAAATTATATTGGAAGAGTTCCTATAATATGTACAGAATATTCCCAAGCTGTGCAAAATAATTACCGTTGATGAAAGAGCCACAGTGAAACGGTATTTCACAAGTGTTTGGAGTTATTCTCACCAGGGGCAGGCTGTGGATCATTGGCATTAACTAATGATGACCTGAGATCAAAGACAGAACCCTATGGAACTCCAGCTTTCAAGGTAGCATAATAAGTCTGAAATGTCGAATGAAATCTTCTACAAATGAAATTTGAAGTACAATAATGGCCCATCAAAACTGTCAAGCTAGCTCTCCAACTGATAGACACACACAAACACACACACACGCACACACACTCACACCCCACATGATTGATGATTTAAAAGCTCTAGGCTAGGAAAGTGAAATAGTTGCAGACAAATGACCAAAAGCAAATTTTTAAGTCCAGTTACAAAAAAGCAAATGTAACCAAGTCTATCATGCACTGCAGCATACCTCATGCCATGCCAAGAATACACAAAATGACCTTTCCAGAAAAGAAAACAAAATATAAGACAAAAGCAAGATTGATGAACAAAATCCTGCACTACCTCTAAACAGCAGTGTTAATCAAGCAACTATAATTGTCCTGTTAACTTATATCAGCTTGCTTTTAAAGCTCTAAATTCTTAGTCTTTAGAGTAGACCATGCTACTACTGAATGTGTAAAAGCACAAAGGTACAAATTTGGCATCCAGCAGAAAACAACAAGTTGTAAGAGCATACAAAGCTTCTGTGATGGCAAATCACTGATTATGTAAAATTAATTAGTATAATTCTGATCAGAACAATTATTTCTCTGTAACAGTTCGTTGGAATTAATAATAATAGGACAAAAAATTCTTAACTCATGTCTTCAACTGTTACTGCAAGCATTAAAAATAGAGCTGTGAAATCTTCGTGAAGCCTGTGAGTTGAGCACACACTGCTTTACTTCTGAGAGAGAGAGAAGGCAAAAAGACAAGCTTATAGAAGATATTTAATTAAAGTCAGAAAGAACATTAAAATAGAAAAATTAGCTCAGTGAAAAGTATCTTTTCATTTCCACTAAATCAGAAACAATTTAAAGACTGCAATGGAAACTGGAAGTAAAAGAAAAAAAAAGCCCTCTTTAATTGGTTTGGAATTTTCTATTGTACTTCTGGAGTTCTGACTGGGTACACTATTGAACCTACTTGTTTTAATTATTCATTTATTTGTTCTTTTATTCATGTAGTCATTCATTTATTGATTGACATATTCTCTTATCCATTCATTCATCTATTCATTTATGTAACATTCTCTGCTGTTCGTTAGGTACCGCGCTATATGTTGAACATGCAAAATGTATATGGCATGATATCTGCTCTTGAAGTACTTAAAGTGACAGACAAGCATGTAAATCAGTATGTATAGTAAAATATGGTGCCATTTAATATGCTGAAGTGGGGTACAGAAGTATTTAAATCTACCTGTGCTAGTGGGGTAGATATGCTCAAGGAAGCTTTTAGGAAGAGATGTTATTTGAGCTGTTCTTTACGATGGCTTAAAATTTACCAGGAATCTACAACATCTATACTTAAACAGGAAGAATATTTCAAGAAACATTGACATTTGCAGATAATTAGAAATGACAAATTTGAGGCTTATTTTCTATTATGTTTCACATAATTACATATTTCAAGTAATAGGTAGTCAGCTTTATATGTAATGAACAAGTGGAACAGCAAATGGAATAATTATTAGGGAAATAGTTATTATATTTAAGATTATGTCAGTCTTGACCACAAGGCCAAAACTATGAATGAGGTAGGTTACTAAAAGGGCACTAAGCTTCCCTTCATAGTTATTTAATAATTACTAAGCAGAATGTGTTAAATGAGAGGGTCACAGTCTCTGGCTTATTAATACAACCATGATAGGTTTATTTCTTGTAAGTATGCTCAGCACACTCAACTGGGGCCATAACTTTGACTGGAAGTCCTGAGAAGAGGGCTTTCTGCCAGAGGAAATTTTGGAAGTTAACAGTGACCTATGAGATGTCACTATGTGGTAATAATGGGGATAGAATGAAATTGAATACATAGGAGAAATGTTTCTGTTAAAGACAGAAAAATTACTCAAAATTCAGAGGCACTGGGAAAATGTTAAATTAGATACTTGACCATTACTCTTCAGACTTAATATAGAGAAGGATCTTAAGGGCTTAAAATATTTTATTTTTCTGGTTCATTGAGTACTTTTACTTATTATTGTCATTATTATTATTATTATTATTATTATTATTATTATTATGGGAGTGGCAGTAATAGTAGTAGTACCCAGTAGAGGCTTAACCAATAGATACATTTTATTGCTGAACTACATTATTATTAATATATTATTTGGTTTACATTGTTATTTAAGGGCATTTTGCAAATGTCATCTCAAGAAAAAGAAGTGAAGGATAGACTGGAGGTAAAACCGGAAAGGATGAGAAACCAAACAAGGCTGGGTTATTAAATTGTTTACTCTAATAAACAATATTGCTTGTTCCTTTGGCACCTTGTGAGAAGCCTTAGGAAATGTGCCTCAGAACTTTTGACTCAGGGAGAGAAAAGTTGGAAATGTTTATTTATTGGTCCTTATTGTTCATTGCTCAATAATGGCATTGTACATTTTTGGGTGGGGTACATGTGTGAGCACAGAGTGGGTTCCCATGGGCATCTCATACTATAATCCATAGGATCCCAGGAGCAAAGAGTAACACAGGTGGTGCAGGCCTGAGTCAAGGCTGAGGGCACCTGGGCAGAATGGTTGAAGCCTATGCAGGACTGATGATGACAATAATAGCTGGAGTGGCCAACAAACATCTGAAAAAATACTCATCATCCCTAGTCATCAGAGAAATGCAAATCAAAACCACAATAAAATCTCATCTCACACCAGTCGGAATGGCTATTATTAAAACGTCAAAAAATAACAGATGTTGGTGAGGTTGCAGAGAAAAGGGAACATTTATACACTGTTGGTGGGAATGTAAATTAGTTCATCCTCTGTGAAAAGCAGTTTGAAAATATCTCAAAGAACTAAAAATAGAACTATCATTTGACCAAGCAATCCCATTACTGGGTATATATCCGAAGGAATATAAACCATTCTATCAAAAAGACACACGCACTTGTATGTTCATTGCAGCACTATTTCACAATAGCAAAGACAGGATCACCCTGGGTGCCCATCAACAGTGGATTGGATAAAGAAAGTGTGGTACATATACACCATGGAATACTGTATCACCATAAAAAGGAGCAAAATCAGGTCGCTTACAACAACATGGATGAAGCTGGAAGCCATTATCCTAAGGGAATTAATGCAGAAACAGAAAATCAAATATCACATGTTGTCACTTATAAGTAGGAACTAAAACTTGGGTACACATGGATGTGAAGATAGGAACAACAGACACGAGGGGCTCTGAAAACAGGGAGAGAAGGAGGGGGACAAGGGCTGCAAGACTTCCTGTTGTTACTATGTTCACTGTCTCAGTGATGGGATCAATAAACAGTCAAACCTCAGCATTGCAGTATACCCGTGTAGCAAACCTGCACATGTATCCCCTGAATCTAAAATAAAAAATAAAATTTACAAAAGTGGGGCACAAGAGGCGCCTAACATAAATGCTGTGTGCTCTTTAACATAGAAGGAGACTTGTTTAGAAAAGCGAAAGGGGCAATTTTATAAATGCTGCAAAACATTGTTTTCAGTGAAATCTGAAATAGCAGATAAATATGGCGAAGCTCTAAACTTTGACTATGTCCCATCATATTCAATAAATTCCAATCACCACTTCTGCCTCCTTCAAATCCTTCCTAATGGAGAAAGCCCAAATTATTTAATGTATACCAGCATTTCTCAAACATTTGGTCTCAGGACTCCTTTATACACTTTAAAATCATTGAAGATACCAAAGTGCTCCCCCACCATAAATGTAACTTAAATATATTCATATTTGTCATATTAAGAATTAGCGTAAATTTTAAATAGTCTTAATACATTTAAAATAAAAGCATATTGCATGTTAACAACAGCAATATTTTTATGAAAAATAACTATATTTCCCAAAACAAAAAAGTAGTGAAGACTCACATTGTTCTACTTTTTTTTTTACAAATCTCTTTAATGTCTGGCTTTATAGAAGACTTGCTTTCTCATATCTGCCCCACAGGCATTCAATCTGCTGAGATATCACGTGCCACATATCCTCTAGAAAACTCCACTCTACCCTCACGATAGAATGAAAGTGAAAGGGAAAAATGAGATCTTAATATTATTAAAATCGTTTTGTCCTTGCAGACCTCCTGGAATGGTCTCAGGAGCTCCCAGAGGTTTCTGGATGACACTCTGAGAACCGCTGGTTTGTTTGTTTGTTTGTTTATATTATACTTTTTAGAGACAGGTTCTTGCTCTGTTGCCCAGGCTGGAGTGCAGTGGTGCAATCATAGCTCACTGCAGCCTTGAACTCCTGGGCTTAAGTCATCCTCCCAACTCAGCCTCCTGAGCAGCTGTGACTACAGGTGTGTTCCACCATGCCCAGCTAATTTTTAAAATTCTTTTTGTAAAGACAGAGTCTCACTATGTTGCCCAGGTAGGTCTTGAACTCTGGTCTCAAGGGATCCTCCCACCTCAGCCTCCCAAAGTGCTGGGATTACAGACATGAGCCATTGCACCCGTCAGAGAACTGCTGGTTTCTATATGTTCATGCAGCCCAATCTACCTCTGTAATTTGATTCCCTGATATTTCATAAGTAAGTCTTATGCCCCATGCCATAGTGAGCATCACCATTGCTCCAAATACAGCCTCTAGACTCCCTGCATGCAAGCTTTCCACCCACCTTTCCCTCCTCCTTCCCCTGCCACTATCTTCCCTTATGCTATTGATGTTTGTCCAAATCCTTTCAATCACCCTTAGGAAACCTTCCCAAATTCACTTATTTCTACTTCTATTGAGTGAGTATCATTTTTTTTCCTTGCATAATAGGTATTTATTTGTGTTTTGCCTCCTTGGCAACTTTCCTCTAAAGCCTCCATATCCTGTAGCTTATGCTTGTGTGTAGTAGGTTGGTCAAAAAAATAGCTATTGAAAATATGTTATTACTTTTTACTCTGCTATATGCTTGTTTTACAGTTTATTGTATATGAACCAATACACCTTATCATTTCCTCATCTATGCATTTCAATACTAATTAATTTTTTATTGGGGAGTGATACTTCAGAAACCTGTAAGAAAAGACTCAAATATATGGGTCCATCAGTCCTGACAAGTGTGTAGCGGATTACACATCTTGTTTGCTTTTAGCTCATCATTATTGTTTTATGCAACTTAGACTAGACTTTTTGTTTTTGACAGGAAGTAAGTTAGAACTAGGAAAGTTAACCTAATGGATGCAAAGACAATAATTGTAGTCTGCAATTAGTGACTAAATATCATTCACTGATTGTCACATAAGATTGATCTTGGGTTTTTGCAGGAGACTGATATTGTTGAACTTGTGAATGAAATATTCATTGTTCTCCCGTTCATGAACAATATGGCCAAAACTCTAATAAACTTTTTCAGATAATTACTACTTAGCACAGACCAGGGGCTATCTGGCAACATAGATTTTCAAGCTTTCCTTATTTGTTTTTGAATAACTGAAGAAAAATAGCTAAATTTGAAGGGAATACCACTTCATTGTCTCATAATTCAGAGGTTGCCAAATCATGACCATTGAAGTGCTTATATCTATATAATTTATTATTTTCTTCTTTCTTATGCATAAGTCCTGCAACCTTAGATATAGTCATAATAATATAGATAGACAAGTGTACTTGCTTATTTTGTTCCTGTCTGGCCAAGTTAGTTCAGCATTAAAATTGAAATGCCCGTTGATCAAGAACTAGCCAAACTAAAACACTTGGCGTACTTAAATGCAATGAGCTTGGAAGTGCTCGTATTTTCCACAAGCGATTTTCACTGCCTGTACACTAATCCTCTTTGCACTCAATTTACAGAGAATGTACACTTCAGGGAATCTGTATACTAATTAATTTCAAAGCCTAATGCACGGCTAAGGAATATATCTTTAAAATATCTAGATTAGCTAGATTAAATGACAATTCAATAGCAAAGGAACTTCTAAATTCCATTTAAATGTCAGATTAACAAGATGTAAATTCATCTGTAGAGAAAAGCCTTTACTTACTTCAGCTACACAAATAGTGACAGCTAAGAAAAGATACCTCAGTGTTTTGGTCAATATGCTTGTTTATATAGTTGCAAACATATGATGCTACTATAGCTTAGATAGTTGAATCTCGTCACATCATTTTATGAAACCTCCTCTCTCAAAATACTCATAGATTCCCAAATGGGATTATTTACTAATTTAAAAATGCCTCAAATTTCCAATGCACGTGTTATGAAAAGCAGGGCTTTTTTTTTGTGGCTAGGACCATCAGCTGAGAGAAATATAAGCACTACTCCATTGCTTCTGATCTTCAATAAACTAACACCTATTTTTGTCTCACTCTGTGACTACAACTTTTTGCTTTTTTTGTTTACTCTCTCTAGTAAGCCATCTCCTATAATTCCTATAATCCAAGGAGCTTAATACAACCTTTGATCCATTTATCCAATGCCTTTCACTGTTCCTTACCCTTGTATCCCTTCCTCCTCACCTAGATTTAATACCATGGTCAATCATTATTATTTCCTTGCATATACCATCAACTCCTTTGTCCCTCTCTTACTTGGTTTTGCTCTCTTGGCTAAATTGCTGCCTGGTTAGATCCAGCTCTTTGCTTTCTTTCTGCTTGCCCTTGCACAACTGACATACACATATGTCTCAATTTAAATTCATAATAATTTATCTTTAAGAGGCCCTTAAAGCTTTGCAGTAATCATACTGTATTGCCAAGTCATTTTCCATTCCTACTCTCTTGAATAACTATTTCTTATCTTCTTTCACTTCAATTTTTCTAATACTTTCTCCATCCCCCATACTCTCAGATCTTACCTTGGAATTCACTGGGAACATAAAACTGTCAGAAAAGAACTTCCATCAAGCTAGCTACCCATCTATCATATCTATGCCCATATTTTCTACCTTTCTTTCCCCTGAGCTTTATTGAGATATAATTGACAAACACAGGTTGTACATATTTAAGGTGTAGAATGTGATAATTTGATATATGCATACATTGTGAAATGATCACCACAAGCAAACTAATTAGTTCATTCATCTCTTTTGCTCCTACAGATGAGATGCTTGTGCTCTTGCTAAGACCACGTACTCTTGTGCACTAGATACTGGTCTCTTGTCTACTCAAGTACAATTCTTTCCTCTCCTACTTATCCTCAGATTTTCCTCTCTGTTGTATCCTTCCTATTAGCATACAAACATATGGTACTTTTCCCATTTGAAAAGAACCTGTGCTTGATTGCAGTTTTATCTCCAGCAAATGCACTCTTTTACTCCCACAATTAACTGCAAAGCTCTTCAAAAGAGTTTTCCAATCTTGCTTCTTCCTTTATCTCTCTTGAACCTCCGATCTGCATTTTTTCCCACATAACTCTACTGAAAGTACTTAATCAAGGTTACTAGTGTCTGTGTTGCTAAATCTAATGACCAATTCTCACTTTTTGTTTTATTTTATCCGTCAATAGCAATTGACTTAGTAAATGACTCTCTCCTTGAAATGCTTAACCTTTCTTTCTCTTAGTTCTCTCATCTTACTAGCTGTTCATTCTCAGTCTTCTTTGCTGGGTTTCCAGAGCTTTGTCCCTGGACTTTTCTCCCCTATCTATACTTGTTTTATTATTATTATTATTTCATTCAGTCTCACTGTTTTAAATCGTATCTGTACCCACTATTCCAAAATGGGTATCTCCATTATTATACTACTGCTTTTGAAATGTAACTGCTCAGTATTGCTTGCTGATGAGTTACCAGTATTTAAACATAAGGTGATTACTTTTTACTCTCTCCCTTCTACATAGGATTACATAGCTCAGAGTCACTATTGTTAATGCATTGTTTCTTCCACATCTAAACTCTAAGACACTGAGGATTCCTTTTTATCTTTCCCTGGAAATCTGACTCAGAAGAGAAAGAGATCATGGTGGGAAAGAACAGAAAGAGCAAAGAGAAAGACATGAAAGGAACCTCTTGGTTAAGTTTAGAAACTGGATAATTGCACTGGTAAAAGAGAAGAGATGTTTAACGTTTTATTTTTAACCAACAATTTTAAATATTTACAATAACTAGGGAGAACAGAAAATCCACAGAAGATTCTAAGAAGATATAAAGTATTACAAAGTCATGACATTTCATCATCACTAAACATATTCTTGAAGATAGGTTTGCCAAATACAAATGGAGTAGAGATTACTTGATTATGATAAAATGCTCATAGCTGTAATTCATTTATATATTTAAAAACTAATAAAAATCTATATTTTCTATTCTTATGAGAAATATATATTACTTCACTTTTCCATATACTGCATAGCTAGTATCAGGGTCTTTGGAGAGTTTTATGACAGTTCGAAGGCTTTAACTCCTTTCTGAGGTGAGGGGATTTACTTTGAGATTTAGTCAGTGAATAGACCCATCTTGTAGGCTGCATCCCTCTCCCATTTTGCTCTGCTTGTAATGACAAGTTGAATGGCTCTTGCCTCCTGTTATAGGCAACCATTCATGCAACCTCTGAGCCTGTCTGGGGCTTTCCCTGCTATCTTCACTAGTCTAAACACCTCATCAGTACTGTTGATCCAGCACCAGTGCTAATTCTACTTCTGTAGCCTTAGTCAATTCTACTGCTACATTTGTCAAGGTGCCATTCATGCTGTCATCAGATTCTTCCAGGTGTATATCAAATTCCTGTAAGCCATGACACAGGGGTCCCCACCAAACCTTTTCTATTCTCTTCACTATTGCCCTTCTGTAAGAAAAGGCTGAAACTGGTAAATAATTGATTTGCCCAAAACAAGCCCTTGATACCATTCTCAAAATTTTCAGCCTGAGACAAAAGGTGACCCTAAAAGAAGCAAAAATTATTATTTGGTAACTTTTTAAATACTGGACATTTTGGACAAATGTGGTGGCTTATGCCTTTAATTCCAGCACTTTGGGAGGCTAAGGCAGGAGGAACACTTGAGCCCAGGAGTTCAAGACCAGCCTGGGCAACATAGCAAGACCCTTTTTCTAAAAATAAAGAAAAAAAATTAAAAAATTAACCAAGAGTGATGGCACCTGCCTGTAGTCCCAGCTACTCAAGAGACTGAGGCAGGAGGATTGCCTGAGCCCAGGAAGTGGAGCCTATAGTGCTCTCTGCTCATGCCACTCCACTCCAGCCTGGGCAACAGAGTGAGACCCTGTCTCAATGAAAAATAAAAAAAATAAAAAAAACTAGAAGTTTTGTGTCAACTCCTCTTACTACTGCAGTAAATTCTTTCCTGTAATTCTGCTTTCTTCTATGATTGTTTTTGGCTCATAACCAACTTTCCTTTGACAAATAGACATTATCTGATTTCATTCCTTCAAGTGTCCCACTATCTGGAGAGTTTCTGGACATCAGATTTGTTGAACATAAACAGAAAAATATTTTGGCAGGCTGGGAAGATAATAGAAAGTATTGAGTTTAGGTTCAAGGAAATCTAGTTATATTCTAGCTGTATTGTTTACTAGTTGCAAATATTTTAACAAACTTTTAAGCTTCTTTGACATTTTAATTTAGTAGCCACAAATCCCCCAAAAAGTGGGTATTAAGTCTAATTATGTAGACTTATCTTGTAAGACTCACATAAAAATCATATAGTGGATATTGGCAAATGGTAATCTTCATGATTACTTTTATTTTGAAACAAAGTGAGGTGATATAACAATAATAAAAGTAGAATTAATTATTTTATTCTAAATTATTGTTGTGCCTTTAGAAAATAGGTATGTGCCTTCATTAAGACTTGGCTCTTGAGTGTTTCCCAGTGATCCTGATTTTATCTAACTTTATCACATCAAGTGTTTGATCAGGTTTATTCTTTCTCCTTTCAGGACTGCAAATCACTCTTTTGGTGTAAGTAATAAATATCTGAGACAAGGGCATCACAATTTCTAAACTTCACACTTATTATTTTCTTATGCAGGAAAAATTCTCATGCTTGTAAATATAATGCTAATTGCTTTTTATAATATGTTTTCTGTCTCTAAAAGTAATTCAAGTTATTATAAAAATTTTGAAAGTACATGAATACACAAAGAACAGAAAAACCATCCAGAAACCAACTAAACAATCAATTAAGACTTTGACATATAGACATCTTGAGAATATGCATATATGATATATGCTGTTTTGTAACTCTCTCCTTCCTCTTTTAAAAGTTGTTAATAAAAGATGATACACCATTTAGGATAAAACTTTCACAGCATCATTTTAATGAGTACATAGCATTCATAAAATAGATGCATTGTAATTTATTTAACCACATTCTCATATTGCAGGATGGGCTATTTTCCATTTTTGTTGTAATAAACAATGCTGCAATGAACATTACATACATAAATCTTTATGCACATCCTTAATCATTTCTTTAGGATAAATTACTAGATACAAAATTGCTGTGTCAAAGCTTATGCATATATTATTTATTTACTGTAACCTAGTTTTTAATCATAAAGTGACAAATGCACTTTGAAAACAATTAATACCTAAATGTTAAAAAAAGAAAAGTAAAAATGTGCTTTTACTTGGCATCATAAATTAGAGATAAACACTATTACGTTCTTAAAATTTTTTCTGACAATTCTTTAGTGATAGTCAAGCATATTTAAATAAACACATTTATTCTTTTTATATACAAGGGCTCATAATACATATTCTTTATTGTATTCTTAATTTTTCACTTAATGTACTTCAGAACTATTTACTCATAATTTTTTATCTCTCTTTTTACCTGTTGCATAGTAATTCATAGTATAAGTGTATATTTTATTTAACTAGTCCTTTCTTGATAAACATTTAGGTTATTCTTTTTGCCATTCTAATTCATTTTGTGTTGGACATCCATGTACAACTGTCTTTGCAAACTTTTTAAAGCATATAGATAGAATGGAATTCTAAAAGTGGAATTGATTTGTCAAAGAGTATGTATATAGTTTAAAATTTGGTATGTAGATGAGTATTTTGTGGAGTTTAATATATGTTAGTGTTACTATGTTCTTGGAATGTTATTTCTCATATCTATAATGTAAATGAAACAATGCATTTTGAAGTAAAAAATTATCTCCTCAAAATCATGGATAGCTTTAGTGTTTATTTTCTTGTGATACACACCTATTTTCTGGCTGCACAGAAATAATACTACAATTTAATGATAAAGAGATATTTCTATTTTCAATTAAAATGCTGAAAAATAACAATCTTTTTCAGGGGACTATTGGATTTGCAAACTAAGCTGTGTTATTTAATGACTTAATATAGAGCTTCATGCTATTTTACCCACGGCCACCTTCTATGTACATTTATATAACATAAATAATTGTGGAAATTAGGCAACTATCTGGATAATTTTGTTTATCCATTAAACAAATATTTAATGAGTGTCTACTGTATGCCAACCTCCATTCTAGGTATCAAGAATGTAAAAAAGGGCTGTACAAAAACAACTACCCTCATGGTGCCTATATTTTAGTGATGGAAACAAAAACAAATTAAGCAAGTAAGATATTGCTTAAATTGTGAGACAGCAATTCATGCAAAGAAAAAATAACAAGAAAGGAGAATAAGGAGTTTTGAGTGGGAGGTAATGCAATTCTAATTAAAGTGTTGGAGAAAGCCTCATAGAATGGAGACATCTTTGAGGAGACATCTGAAGGTGAGACAGTTTGATCAATGAAAGCAGGTGTGATGGTCAGTTCAACATGTCAACTAGGCTAGGCTACCACCCCCAGTTATACAATCACACACTAATCTAGGTGTTACTGTGATGGTGTTTTATAGATGGATTAAAGTCCATAATTAGTTAACTCTAAGGGTGGTGATGCTAGATAATGTAGGTTAACCTGATCCAACCAGTTGAAAAGCTTTAAGAGTAGAGATGAGATTTCCCTAAAGATTAAGACATTCTACCTGTGGATAGCAGCTTCACCTGGTGCTGAGAGATTCAGTGTTCCCTTCCTGATGGCATGCCCTGAGTATTTGAACTTGCCTAACTAGGTCTCACAATAATCCAATAGCTTATAATAAATCTCTTCATACATATCTCCTGCTGGTTCTATTTCTGTGGGTAAAGCCTGACAAGATACATTAAGCTTACCAGATAATTCAGTATATCTTTAATTTTATGCTATGGAATATATGAATGGTCAAAATATATATGACACTTAGAATGGTTCTGTCTAACATCAAAATGACCTTTGAATGAGTTCTAACTCTGGACAGTTTCTATTTCCTCCTGATATCTTTCTGGGCACTGTCAACAACTAACAGAACAACTAAACAGAAAATCAGCATGTATGTTAAAAAAACTAAACAACATCATTGTATTAGTCTGTTCTCACTTGCTACAAAGAAATATATGAGACTGAGTAATTTATAAAGAAAAGAGGCTTAATTATCTCAGGGTTCTGCAGACTGTATAGGAAGCATGGTGTCATCAGCTTCTGGGGAGGCCTCAGGGAACATACAATCATGGAGGAAGGCAAAGAGGTGTTTACATGGCCAGAGCAGGAGGAAGAGCAAGAGAGGAGAGGTGCTACACACTTTTAAACAACTAGACCTCTCCATAACTCACTCACTCACTATCACACAAACAGCACAGAGGGGATGGTGCTAAACCATTCACAAGAAACCTCTCACATGATTCAATCACCTCCCACCAGGCCCCACCTCCAACATTGGGGATTACAATTGAACATGAGATTTGGGTGGGGACACAAATCCAAACCATTGCAATCATCCACCAACAAGGTCTGAATAACATTTATAAAACACCAGACAACAGCAGAATACACATTCTTTTTTAAGTTTCAATGAACATATTCCAAAATAGACTTCTCTGGGAGCCATAAAACAAACTTCAACAAATTTAATATTATTGAAATCATGCAGAGGGTCCTTTCTGACCACAATTAAATCAAATTAGAAATCTAATAGGTAGGCCAGGCACGGTGGCTCAAACCTGTAATCCCAGCACTTTGAGAGGCCAAGGCGGGCGGATCACAAAGTCAAGAGATCAAGACCATCCTGGCCAAAATAGTGAAACCCTGTCTCTACTAAAAATACAAAAATTAGCTGGGTATGGTGGCACACGCCTGTAGTCCCAGCTACTCAGGAGACTGAGGCAGGAGAATCACTTGAACCTGGGAGACGGAGGTTGCAGTAAGCCAAGATCATGTCACTGCACTCCAGCCTGGTGACAGAGCGAGACTCTGTATTAAAAAAAAAAATCTAACAGGTAGATAATAGGAAAATCTCCATACACTTGGAAACTAAACAACACATTTCTAAATAGTCTGTGGTTCAAAGATGACATCTCAAGGAAAATTCAAAAACACATTAAACTGAATGAAAATCCAACTGCTATGGTCTGAATGTTTGGCTCACCCCAAAATTTATATGTTTAAATCATCCCCCACCACTCAAGTTTATGGTATTTGGAGGTGGAACCTTTGGGAGATGATTAGATCATGAAGGCAGAGTCCTTGTAGACGGAGTTACTGTCCTTATAGAAGACACCACACTGTGTCCTCACATGAAACTCTTTTAACATGTGAGGACATCGTGAGGAGGCAACATCTATGAACCAGGCAAAGGGGCCCTTACCAGACACTGAATCTGCTGGCACCTTGGTCTTTGACCTCCTAGCCCCAAGAACTGTGAGAAATAAATTTCTGTTGTTTATAAGCTACTCAGCTTATGGTATTTTATTACAGGAGCCTGAATGAATTAAGACAGACTAGTATCTAGAATATATAAGGAACTCTCAAACTCAACAGTTAAAAATTAAACAATCCAATTAGAAAATTGGCAGAGGTATAAACATTTCAGCGAAGAAGACATGCAGATGGCAAGCTAACATGATAGAAGATCTTCAACATCCTTAGCCATTAGGGATGCAATTTAAAGCTACAACGAGATACCACTACACACCTATCTGAATGGCTGAAAGAAAAAATAATGACAACACCAAATACTGATGAGGACGTGGAGAAACGGAATCATTCAACATTGCTGGTGGGAATATAAAAATTGAGCAGCTACTCTGGAAAATGGCTAGGTAGTTTCCTTAAAAATGAATCGTGCAACTTCCATATAACTCAGCAATTGCACTTCTGGACATTTATCTCAGATAAATAAAAACTTACTGTCTCACACACACACAAAAAAACCCCGAACAAACATTTATACTAGCTTTATTCATAGTAGCCAATGGCTGGAAACAACCTGGATGTCCTCTAATGAGTGAATAATCAGACCACAATACATCCATGCCTGGAATATTCCTCAGCAAGAAACAGGAACAAACTATTGATGTATACTACAGCTTCAGTAAATCTTCAGATAATTTTGATGAAAGAAAAAAACCAATCTCAAAACGTTATGTACAGAGTAACTACGTCTTACAATGTCAAATTAGAGAAACGAAGAATAGATCAGTGTCTGTCAAGAGTTAAGGAGGTGGGGTGAGGTGGGGCTGGTGCCTGGTGAGAGAGAAATGTGTGTGGCTATAAAAGGGCAACATGAGAGATCTTTGTGTAATGGAAATGTTCTGTATTTTGACTGTTTCAATGTCGATATCTTGGTTATAATATTATACTACAATCTCACAAGATGTTGCCATTTAGTACAAATGGATAAATGGTAAATGGGATCTCTGTATTATTTCTTACAACTGCATGGGATTTATAATTTTCACAAAATTTAAAAGTTTGATTAAAAAACAAAATTTATAAGATTAATATGCTGTATAATGTTACTTCTTTAGAAGTACTCCATTTCATGAGTGCTAAAATGCTAGTTTTTAAAAATAATTTGTGTAATGTTGTGTTTATTTCAGCATGTATTTTACTAATGAACATTGTTTAATTTGGCACCACTATTTTCTGCCTATTTGAACCCACTCATTTATGTATTAAATATTGTTTCACTTTTCCAATTCCTCCCAACAATATAAATTAATTTTATGCAGAATTTTATTTCTCAACATTACTTTTCAAAGCCAGAATGTTGTTAAGTGTATGCTTCTCTAGAAAAAATTTTATGAAATTTCTGAATTCCAATATAAACTACAAACTAATAAAAGCAGGAACAATCTGAGTCACTACAAATTATTTTGTCCATGAATAGTAGAATAAGGAAAATATAATGTATTATTATATTTACATTAAATATATACATAAATTAAAATATAATGTATAATTATATAAATGCCTAAAGCATTTTTCAATATGAAAACAAAATTAAAATACTTTGAACAAATGACCTTTTTGAATGTTTAATGGATAATCCATGAACACTTGCAGTGACTTTTGATAGTTTGTCAAACAATTTTAATTAAAGTAATTTCCTTATGAGGCAATCACATTGCTCATAAAAATCTGAAATATGTATTGAAGACATCCTAGGGATATACTAATTCAAGTCTATTAGGTAAGAATGACAAAAATAATAGTTACACCAGCATCTGTTCTAGTATCTTTGTTAAGGGTACACATAACTTTTTGTAAAAGGAAGTTTTTCTATGGTTTTCACAAAAATAGTCACATGAACTTTGGCAAATATTATTTTGCAAATGCCACTCTTAAGAGAAGTATGGCTAGCAGTAACCTGACATTTATAACTATTCTAAATAATGCAACAAAAGCATTTTCAAGGTTCATGTGCATCTTTTCATATGCAGACTTTGCAGTTCTCTTTAATAATTTAGCTTGTTTGGACACACCTTACTGAATCATATTTTTTGAGTTGAAAAATATATTACCTTGTGAGTCAGTCAAGCGTTTGCAAAAAGTCATAATCTTGGTTCCCTGCTTTACCTGACCCTGTTTTGGTTTTGCTTGGCTTCTACTATTCTTGATCAGATGTTTGCTAGATCTTTGGCAGGTAATCATATTTGTGGACCACACTCATCTATTAGATATCTGTTCAATTAACCAAAGTAATCATGTAGAGTTTATATAGTTAATTGGCTGAGAATCTGACTTCCTAAAAATTTGATTACTAATATTTCAGATGCTTTTTCTAGATAACCTAGACTCATTCTCGGAAGCTTGAGTCTGACTTTTGCATTCCGGATTCACTTGACTGTGAATCACATAATTTCTTACTCTTTTTCTAGCTTGATAATCTCTGCTTATCAGTTTCCATTCTAAGAATGTATTAATTTCTACAGTGACCTGATTCATGCTGACAATACTGAAAACTAGAATTATTATTATTATTATTATTATTTTTCTGAGATGGAATCTTGCTCTGTCACCCAGGCTGGAGTGCAATGGCGCAATCTCGGCTCACTGCAACCTCCGCCTCCCAGGTTCAAGCGATTCTCCTGCCTCAGCCTCCTGAGTAGCTGGGATTACAGGCATGCACCATCAGGCCCGGCTAATTTTTGTATTTTTTTTTAGTAGAGACAGGGTTTCACCATGTTGGTCAGGCTGGTCTCGAACTCCTGACCTCATGATCTGCCTGCCTCAGCCTCCCAAAGTGCTGGGATTACAGGTGTGAGCCACCGCACCTGGCCTGAAAACTAGAAATTTAAAATAATGAGTAAAAAGTGGAGACTACTTCATTTGCATCTCTGGATCACTATTAAGTTATTGACAAAATGAATACTCATATCATACAATTTATTGTTCTATGTAAATAATAATATCCTATTACATTTTAATAAAACTCATGTTTGCTTTGGTGACACTTTTTAAAACAAAGGTTATAGACAAAATCATGATACTTACAAAAATTTTGGTAAAGGCTCACAGTGTGGCACAGGACATACTGGGAGTTCATATCCCCACTGTCTCACTTAATAGCTGCAGAATCTTAAGTAATTTTCTTAATCTCTTAGATGGGCTAATGCATTTACACCAGTGCTAGGAATATAGTAAATGCTCAGCAAATGAAAGTTCTTCCTATGATTATTCTTATAACTAGTACAATGAGTACAACTAGGATAACTAGTACAACCACTACTCTTTTAAGTACCAGTACTCCACTACTACTTAGACTAGAAGAAAGAGAGAAAAGTAATACTACAGAATGCAAAATAAATAAATAACTGATGAACATCAATAGCTTTATGATAGAAGGCATTATTTAGTGTTCCTTATATTACACTGATATAATTAAAAAGATTGAGATGTTCTTTTATTAGACATTGCTAATCATAAATCCCACTTTGGAAACATTTTCATTTCCCTAGCTCAGTATTCCCAGTGGATACTTTTTTGATTATGATAGTTCAAGTGGTATTTAATGTTGGTTATCATCAAAATGAATTCTTTTGATTTGGAATGGCATTAGTTTAATGGCTACTATATTTCTTGTAATGTAAAATAATGTAGAAAAAGTTTATTTTGCCCAAATGCAGTTGAATGGGAAAATTTCAACTCTAATACACTGCTTAAATACAAACACTTTTGGAAGGAACACTATTATTCAAATTCACAATCAGAAAAAGACATATTTAGGATAAATATTATGTTAATTCTTATTTAAAAAATCACAAACATTCCATGTATATTTGAGTGTGTAATCCCAGATGAACTTTAATCCCTGGATATATCTAATGTGAACTTACCCCCTTTGTTTCCTATTGAAATTGGTTCTAATTAAAAATAAATTACATATTTTTCAACTTTCAAAATATTATTGCCACAAGTTAATTCTCTCTACTGTAGAGAGAACCATACCTACATAGGATTTCCATAGCCACATGGAATTTGATTCTATTGCAGAATTCATTCTATAAACATTTGTTGCATAACTTTTAAATCTGAATTGCTATACAAAACGCAGTTCTGTGTATAGTGCCTCAAGGTAAAGATGATTGTTACACAATCTGCCCTTCTTTTCTGCCACCAGAAGAAGCAGAATTCACTCTCTACAATTTTATTAACGTGTCTTTTTGTCCCTATTTTCTCAAAGTTAGAATTTAAACAAAAGATTCCAAAAATAAAATCATGGAAAAAAGGTTTTTCATGAGATGGATGGAGATGACTGCAATACTATAAAGCTATTGCAATAGCTTTAATTATTCATCAAATGGAAAGTTTCACTACCAAGGCTGCCAAAGACTACAGCATCTTCATAGTGTATTTGCCTCCAAGCTGTACTTCAGTGCACAGAAAGAAGCCACAAATAAATAGCAACATGACTAAAGGGTGTTAAATGTCAAATTTAATTCACTCAACAATTTCTGAATTTCTAGAAAAAGAGTTTAAGAGCTAAGCAATAGGCACTTTTTGTAAGTCTGAAGGTAATCTGTTTCATGTTTGCAAAACAAGTACACTTCCCCATGCAATTCAAACATTGAAAGAAAAATTTAAATATTTAGAAAGCATGTTCTGTACAGATTTAAACCAGCTTTTAGAGTACTGTACATCTCAATTTGAAAATTATTTTTATGTTTTATCCAGGGATATATAATTAACAGATGCCATTCTTCATTATAATATCTAAATATTTTTAAATTGTTGGCAATGTTGGGATTTAATGTAACATACATATGTGAGATGACTTAGAATAGATGAAATATAGGCGATTAAATCACTGAAGTAACAATAACAGATCAAAAGATATGTAACAAGGAAGAGATTCATGTAATCTTTAAAATGAGTTTTCCACTGACAATATAATAGAGATTGCAATTTATGGAGTTTTAAAGTAAGAGTATTTTTAAATCTCTTTACTGAATTACTCAACGCAAGTCTTTACAAATGCAAAAGCATAATGCCAATTACAACTTAATGTACATATATCAATGAAGAGTTAAAGTAGTATAGGCCTGGTCACCTAATTTTTTAACTTAGTACAGAGATTTAGCTACCTGAGTCAATGTTTCTCAGACATCATTAAACATAAGTATTACCCAGAAATTTGTCTAGCTCCAAATACACTATATTTTGATACTATATTTTGGTACTATATTTTGATTTAGTGAGGACCAGGAAGCTATTTAAACTAATTCTCCAGGAAATTCTGAGGAAGTTGTTCAAAGGAGGAGTCTTCTAGACTATCCCTCTAATAAATATGTTATATTTCATGATCTAAGATGCCACCAATTATAATATGGATCCTTAAGTATTTCTAAAAAAGAAAACTAAATAGTGTCAATTATACAGTCTAAGTATAGGATGAATTTTAATTTTAGGGAAATTAAAATATGTTCATCTTGAGATTGTTGAAATACCATATTACTTCTCTCTACTAAGTTTGTTTTGACATCAGTTGAATAGCAGATTAAACATTAAACTCTCTAATAAATGTCTGATTCAATCAAATTTATTTTATTTACATTCTATACTCTGTGCCAAGAGTTTTGATAGGCATCTGTTCTTACTATCTTTTGCTGAATTAAAAGCAACAACAACAACAACAAAACCCCAAAACACTACCCCAAAACAGGATCTTTAAGCAGTAATTTATTATTATTTTACTTTGTTCTGTGAATTGATTGGGCTTAGCTGGGCAATTCTCACTTGAGATGTCTCACACAGTTACAGTCAAATGCTGGCTGGAGCTACACACTGTCAAATTAAGGCTCAAATAAGGCTGGACTTCCAAGGTTGCTCATTTACAGTGCTGGTGGTTGACACTGGCTATTGGCTTAAAAGTCAGCTGAGGATTTTAACTGGAGTACCTACCTTGGCCTCTCTTTGTGGCTTGGGCTTCATAGCAGGCTGTTAGTTTCCTGAGAGGGAGAATTCCAAGAGCAAATGTTTCAAGAGGCTCAATCTGAAGTTCTTCTGACCCAGCCCCTGGTCATTATGACCATAGTATCACCTCCACTGCATTCTGTGGGTCAAAAGTGAGTCACAATTAGTTTACAGTCAAGGAGAGGAGACTGCATAGGGTGTGACTATCAGGAACCATGGCTCACTGGAGCACCATCTTTGGAGTCTAGCTAACACAGCATCTTGGTATGTAATCTAATTTAGTCTTAATTAAAACTTCTAGAAGATATTGTGTTAGCCAAATGGAGCTGGTTCTTTTGATAACTCTCAGAAAATGACCCATTTCAAGAATAGTGAGCTCTTTACATAATGAGTTAGCTTAATCCCTGACAATTTTTTTTTTAAAGTTTGCCCTTTATTCTTTCTTTCTTTTCCTTCTTGTTGCCCAGGCTGGAGTGCAATGGCATGATCTTGGCTCACTGCAACCTCTGCCTCCTGGATTCTCCTTGTCTACCATGACCAAACTTCAGGCTTCATTCATTCTCCTGCCTCAGCCTCCCAAGTAGCTGGGATTACAGGCGCCCGCCACCACGCCCGGCTAATTTTTTGTATTTTTAGTACAGATGGAGTTTCACCATGTTGGCCAGGCTGGTCTCGAACTCCTGACCTCAGGTGATCTGCCTGCCTCGGAAGGTTGCCCTTTCTATTGTCACCTGCTTAAAGGCAAGCTTTTGCGTTTTCAGCCTGATTGATCAGTGAAACATCTTGAATGTAAAAAAGTCATTTTGAGCTCCCCATAATTCCTCCACCTTCACGCCACATACTCCTTTTTTTTTTATTGGTCTCTCCCCCTCCTCCCTTCCCAGACAGCTAGAACCAAGCAGGGAAAAATCAAGGGTCATTTTAAAATTAAATTATCATGCTTCATTTGGAAACCACAAAAAGCACCTACATGGCATATCAATCAACTTTTGATGAGCTACTGTGTACCAATAATGTGAAAAGTACTTTATGTGTCCTGTCTAATCAAATCTCCACAACAAATCAGTGAAGCAGATACTATCATCCTCATTTTTATGAAGAAACTAAGGCAAAGAAAGAGAAGCAAGGGATTTTTCAAAAACCTAAAAAAATTGTTAGAAAATTATTATTATTATTATTATTATTATTATTATTATTATTTGGAGACAGAGTCCCACTGTGTTGCCCAGGCTGAAGTGCAATGGCATTATCTCGGCTCACTGCAACCTCCATCTCCTGGGTTCAAGCAATTCTCCTGCCTCAGCCTCCCAAGTAGCTGGGATTACAGGCACACACTACCACACCTAATTTTTGAATTTTTGATAGAGGTGGGGTTTCACCATCTTGGCCAGGCTGGTCTCGAACTCCTGACCTCAGGTGATCTGCTCACCTCAGCCTCCCAAAGTTCTGGGATTACAGGCATGAGCCATCACATTGGGCTTATCATAGAGAATTATATCCAGTGGTGTCTACATGAATACATATGTGCATCTATCTCACAGTGTATGTTTGAGCTTTGACTCAGTTGATGCTGAACTGTTCTTTCTCCTAGCAATTGATCAATATTTCCAGTTACTTTCTAAGGCAGTTCTTGATTTATGATAACGTAATTTAAAGCTGTTATTTGTCGCCTCAATGACTCCCTTCATGCTGGCACCTGCCCTGCTTATTTTTAAACTTTTACCTAGTTTTTGCCTGTATTTGGGTACCCGTCCCCAACTTGTATATTCAAGCCCTAAGCCTAATGACTTCCCCATTCTAGCTCTTCCTCCTTTCCATGTTGACTCAATTACATTGAAATTACCCAGTGAGGATCCTTCCTGCCTGCCACAAGTTGCCCGACCCATGACACTCCATAAAGGCATTGGCTCATGGGTCCTTGCTCTGATTTCTCCTTGTCTACCATGACCAAACTTCAGGCTTTTGGGTGACTGGTGTGGATTACAGGCCATGCAGTGCCTCCCTGTCTGGGACCTTTAACCTCATACGCTTCACCCTTTAATCTCATATGCCTCTCCAAGGGTAATTTTCACAGCTTTGTTGGAGTGATCCTTGCAGACTCCACAACAGGGACCTACTTCCTCATTTACAATGAAGTTAGTAAGCTGTTTGTTATATTAGAAGAAGCAACTTGTCTTCCTGTTGCTGCTGTGGCAGAGAAAATATATGCAGCTCCTCTCAATGAAGTATTAGATTGTCCAAATAATCTTAAAAGAGGAGGTAGAATTTAGCCTTGTCTTTTGCTGCTTAAGAACAGATTTTGCTATGCTAAGATTCCAGTCTTACCTATTCTACACATGTAGCAATATAATGTTACAATCTCAGAGACAATATCATATGTCAATGTAATGGGACTTATGGTGAAATCTAAGAGCTTATCCCAAAGGTAGTACTGTCTAGAAAATCAAAGACTAATCAATAAATTAATGTCACACAGCATTATGCTATATTTTCCAGAATATTTCCTACATTTGCTTGCTTTTCATGGCAGTTTTTTTGCAGCTTTTGCAGATTTACGAAAAGTTATATAGAGCTTAGATGAATTTACTGCAGCGAGTCGGGTGTGAAATTTTGGGATAAAAAAAGAGTTGGTCTTTCTGAGCAATTTGCTGGAGATGAGGACAGTTCCTCTCTGGACAGTGTCAGTTTGTCTTTCAACTGAGCTGAACTCCTTTAAGCATGTTATATCCACATCAGACAATCAACCATCATGCTTTCTCTCTTTGTGGTAACCTGTAAGACTTTATCATACCCCCAGTATGATTTAGGTCCCAGCAGAAAAATACCTAGTGTAATCTAAAAAGTAACTGCCTGAGATTTGCAGCTGACTTAGAATTCTGAGCTATTTTCCTCATTTTCAGATTCAACAAATGCTCTTTTTATGCACAGCTACTGTGTGTAAACAATGATCACCTTTGCCATCAAAGGTCTTACCATCTGGGGGAAATACATAGAAATAAGCAATGAAAATTATGGGAGGTCAAGTACTGTATGATAGTACAAAGTACCGGGGGAACACAAAATACTCCCCCAGTATTTGCATTCTGAAGACACCTTCCCAGCAGAAACTACTTCTAAAGCACAAACCTGCAGAAAAATTAAGAGTGAAAGGGATTTGTGGGAAGAGTGTCCCAGACAGGGGAACCAGTTTATGCAAAGACTTACCCATGAATGAGGAAGAAGACGGTGAACATGTAGAACTGAGAAATGATTAGCTTGACTATAACACAGAAAGTAGGGGGTGAAGGTGAGAGTTAGTGCTGGCGATATTAGCAAGGGCCATGTCATGTATCTATGCTAAGTATTTTGAACTTATGCTGAAGGCAAGGGGTGCCAATGAAACTCTTTAAGTGAGGGAAGAAAAACTGGGCTTCATAATGAATAAATGAGTTCCTCAAATGGTAACTTGGGGAGTAGAATTGTAGGTGGGGAAGAGGATAATGACTTAAGACAAAGCAGCCTCTGAAAATGCTTTCAGGACAATTAACTGATGAGCCAAGTGCATGCTTTGGGAGCAGAGTGTTCATTCATTCATTCATTCATTCAACAGAAATGTATTGTTTACCTACTCTATATCAAAGACTACTCAAGTCATTAGCAGATATAGCAGTGAACAAACCAGACCATATCTTTGCCATCATAGAGTTTATTTATATAAATGAATATATGCCAAGTATTTGTCCTCTAAGAAAAATAAAACACTATTAGAAAATGGAGACTGCAGGGAGGAAGGTGTGATTTTGTAACTGGTGGTCAGGGAAATGTTCACACCCCGTCTGTTACTTTTCTCTGGATGCTTCTTGTCTGAGAAAAAAAGTTACAATGTTTGTTTACCTATTCATTCAATATTCCTTTAATGCCTCTGTGTACTAGGGACTCTGTAAGGCCTTGTGGCAGTGCCATGGCAGGTAGAGAGGCAGGAAAGCTCAATACAGCAGTACTTTGTAAGCCATGTTAAAGGTTAAAAGTTTGGATGTTTTTCCTAGGAACAATGAAAGTCATTGTGATGTTTTAATTAAGAATTCCATGTGATCATGTTTGTATTTTTAAAAGATCATTCTGACTATAGTTAGAGGAATGAATTGATTAACAGGGCTTAAATAGGTTCTCTTCAACTGAAGGGAAAAGAATAGATTTTCCTTGCTTAGCTACTAGTAGTGATGGCTAAACTTCCTTTCTTTCAAGGAAAAGTAATACTTTTTGTTTTACTATGATAAAAGGTCTTTATTCATTTTCAGAGTCATAAACAAATTTCCTATGAATACACTTTTTCCTCTTGAGTGCAGAATTTTTTGTGAAGGCTAAGACGTGAATGTATTAACTGAGTGAATTTATCAAAGAAATTCTAACATGTCATTTGCTAATTGAGGGACTTTTGCATCTAACAAAGAGTAATATCTTTATACAAGACATTTGATTGGCAGCAGAAACACACATTTTATTATTTAAAATGCACCAGACACACTTTTATTTCATGGCTAAACACCTTTCTTATTCATGTTTTATGTAAGTGGAATTTCAAAATATTTGTTTATATAGCATTCTGCAAAGAAATATCCTAATACAGATTTGGCCATATTAAAAAAAAAAAATGCCTTATGTGCCATATTGCTCAGAAGGCATGTTTATGAATAAGTTTTCAAAGCTCCATATGCACAAATATGAAATACAAAGTCTTCCTCCAAATAGTAAGAATATAGCCCCATTCTACATTTGCTGGTTTATACTGCTAACATTTATCTGCATCTCCATATCCCAAGATTTGCAAATCAGATAATTCTGTTGCATTATGCCGCCAAATATAAACAGCTGGCTCTCTTTGGCGAGCAGAATATCACCTGAACATTTAATGCAGCCCTTCCTCTAGGATACCTTTCATCATCAGAATTTAGGGAAGCACAGTTGCTTGGCATGTTTCAAATGTACTATTCTCTAGAGTTTTACAGCTCATGGATTCTCTTGATAACTATAATAACAAGAGACATGACAAGGACAAGATATTAATATTAAGCATTGTGAATGAAATCTTATGAACCTGTGAGTGGGACATTTCAGGGAAGCCCTCCGAAATTTTAAATAGGCAGTTTAATATAGTGATACCATCTTAAATTATTTTCAAGTGGAATAAAATTCAGTCATTGGAGTTTTGAGGAGCCACAGTGTATACAAATACATAATAGGGAGAGTTTCTCCATCAATCCATATATGGAACACATTTATTTTATTTTTCCAGAATTAGAAAAAATATTTACTAGCTTACGTTCATAAAGTTACAGGTGAAAACACAAAAATAAGAAATCAGGACTAATTTGGAAAAGAAATGATATGAATGAATATAAGAACAAGAGATATCAATGTTTACCACCTTGTACCCCGGCCATGTGACACTTGGCTTCAGGCTTTGCTTGTCTTTTTGTTCACCCATGGTCTAGGCCAGTGCTGTCCAATAGAACTTTCTACAGTGAGAGAAATCTTTCATATCTTTGTTGTTCAAAATGATGCCTGCTAGCCACTTGTGGCTATTGAACATATAAAATGTGGTAAGAGCAACCAAAGAAATGCATGTTACATTTTATTTAATTTAAATTAATGGAAACTTTAAATCGTGCACCCAGATAGTGGCTATCACATTGAACATGTGTGTCTAGGCCATGAGAAGAGTCTTTCTGCAACTGGAACATAATGCAGAACTCGGTCTATAGCCACTCTGGCCCATCTCCACAGGAAGGCACAGAGGCTGAGACCTACACAAAGTGGTAGTTCTAGACTCCTTTGTCAGTTATCTTAGGATGGGTGACAGCCAGTCAGGCTGGGGAAGACTCCTGAGAACCGTTACTCATTCTAATGACTACTTGGAAGTGGTGATAGCCTAGATGAAGAGAATATTTTAGCTACCCAAAAGAGCAATAATCATTATCTTGACTGAAAATCAAATGTTTCACAGGGAAAATATGATTAGAAGAAAGAAATTTACTGTTGATGTTATAAATATAATTTTATGATGTTTCAAAATGTTTGTTTTTATACTGACAATTATGAATTATTTATATTACTGCAAAGACACTAACAGCTTTGAGCTTTCCTCATTTATTTTAATCCTAAAGGGTAAACCTATATGTCAAAGTAACTTTTATCAATTATTTTAACAATTCTTTTGTTCTCCAAAGCAACTTACATGGAAATTACCTACTTGAAATATGAGTGACCCTGCCCTGTCTCCAAAAAGAAAAAAACAAGCAGATAAAAATCAATAAACAGCAAGAGTAAAAATAAAAATTGTTTAGGGGAACAAGATTCTCTTACAAATCATAATTGCTAAAATGTACTTGAGATATTTATCAATAATAAAACTAAATTACCATAAAAGCTAACATGTACTGAGTATATTCTATATGCCTGACACTAAAAGGGTTGATGTGGATTACATCCTTTAATAAATCTACAAAATGGGTGTTATCATTACTTCCATTTTGCAAAGCAAGATGCTGAGACTTAGAAACAGGAAGTAATGCTTCCAAATTCACATAGCAAGTCAATGGAGTGGCCAGAATCTGCATCTAGGTTTGCACAAATCTATTTTTAGCCAATTACATGGAAAATTCAGAAAATCTAAATTGATTTCATTTGATGTCATAGATAGAATGAAAAGTTTCCATAGACTGTGGCTTTTCCCAAAGAAACCAAATTGACAACAGAAAATACATATAAGTTTATACATATTATGAAGCAACTTACTGTTAAGTTATAAGTGATACTTTTTTTGCATATAATTTGAGTTTAATAGACCGAATTTGTGCCGACGAAATCTATTTATTACTGCAATTGTGATATAGTGCTAGAAAATCTGTAGAGTCCAAGGGAGTGTTTTGGCTGCCATTGTCATTTAAGCCTCTGATTTGCTTTGGAGAGCTGGAGGGCACTGTGTGTCCCCTTGCCAACTTGGCCAGGTGCATGAGTACATCTCTAAAATAAATGTAGAACTACTTTCACAGGAATTGAAAAAATGTTTCCTAGATTTCTTTTGACAAGAAGTCATTATCAGTTGCTTTGGGGAAGAGTTGCAGAAGCTTCATGAAAAGTATCAGGCCGTTATTTACTTTTCATACTGCAAGCCTTGGTCTGAAAGGGCAGACAGATAATAATACCTTTTGCTCATGAAGAGCAAGTCTCACTGTGACCTGCAGCCACTTTGAAAAACACAGAACTGAGCTCAGAACATGGATTTTATTGTAGATGTTGTTCTCATTTATTACCTGTTTGAGGTTTTGATTCTGCTGGCAACATTGGCCTTATAATACTATATATGTATGATATTATACCATAATACCATATACCATATACCAATACCAATACCATATACCATACCAATACCAATACCATAGGTTGTGTGCATGTAGTCCCAGCTACTTAGGGGGCTGAGGTGGGAGGACTGCTTGACCCAGGAAATTGAGGCTGCAATGAGCCATGTCATACCACTGCACTCCAGCCTGAGTGACAGAGTGAGACCTTGTCTCTAAAACACAAAAATTGTTTGTAGAAATGGGGGTCTTGCTATGTTGCCCAGCCTGGTCTCAAACTCCTGGCCTTAGTGATCCTCCTGACTTGGACTCCCAAAGCAATAGGATTACAGGTGTGAGCCACCACATCTGGCCAGAAGATACTTTAGTGGAACCAATCTGGGCTGGTAACAAACCACTTACATTGTGTGTGTGTGTGTGTGTGTGTGTGTGTGTGTGTGTGTGTGTGTGTGCCTTGCAATCATTACCAAAAATTTTTTTTCTTTTTACAACAACTTCTTGTCCAACAGACCTTTCAATCATTTTTAAATGTACAATTTAGTGACATTAAATAAGTACATTCATAATTTTGTACAACCAGTACCACTCTCCACTTCCAGAATTTTTCATGATTTCAAACAGAAACTCTGTACCCATTAAACAACAACTTCCCATTTCTCCTGCCCCTCGTAATCATATTTAAAAAATACAGAAAACTAATCAGATCAATGTCATATATAAGGATGTTCAGACTATCTTTGGCAATAGCAGTAGAAACGTAGAGGTTCCCAAAACGCTGTAGAGAAGACTGCAAAATTTCCCTCTGTTTCTGTTTACCAACACCAATCATGAATCTGAAAGTGGCCTGACTTAAGAGTAAGGAACATTATGAAACATAGGTGGAACATGTGTAATGGTAAGTTCCACCTGTCCTCTTTTCTCCAAAAACTTGGAAGAGGAAAACTCAGGTTGAATAAGAGCAGAGGCAGAATGGTTCTCATGTTAGAGATAAGTCTTAATCAAAGAGGGAAAAGGGCAAAAATAAGTTCTCAAGTAGAGAGAGAAAAAACGCCTAGTTAATTAATGAGGTCTTGTGTCCACTTGCATATCCTTGTAGTGGAGTCAGATGTACCAACTCACAGCTCACATGGTAGTCATTGTGAGAAGGATAAGCACATCACATATCACATATCCTCACATATCATAGAAGATAATGTAACAGAACATCTGAATTATATAACTAACTTTATTTTGATTCCTTTATTTTCAGGATGCACTCCTAAGAGAAGACTACCTGAAAGGCGTGTACACTGGTCTAGCAGTTGAGATCAGCTAGTGTTCCATCTATCTTCTGTCATGTGTGAGTATAATTTTCAAGAGTTAAACTCAGCTTTAGGGACACTGGAGCTCTAGTTTCAGCAAAATTCACAATCAACCTCTGGACATGGTAAAATTACCAAGTTAATGTCACTCTGTGAAGTCTCTCAGTGGGTAGGCATCTGGCTTTTCTTTGACTACATTAACTTGTTCATATGCTTTTGAAAAATATCTGTATAACTCATAAATACACAAATCCAGTGGTGTGTGTGTATGTGACAAGTGATGCTGCAAATTGTGGCAAGGTTTCCTCTCACCTTTGTGCCACATTTCTTAAGAGTAAATTTCAATATTGATTTCGACCTCTTCTCAATTACCTAATTTTGGCTCTCTTCCTTTCCATGATCTGGGCATGTCATTATTATTCTTTCAATGCCCTCTACTGGACCAGAAATTTTGTACTGGGTGAACATTACTTCAATGCTGTCCTATCAATTATGTTCAAGGACTTCGGTATTGATGATATGATTTAACCTCAATATGTATTAATTACAGCACAGGCTTGGGATGGGGAAGAGAAGATCATTGCTAAAATATTCAAAACTTTTGTACATTTTTTATAGGTATACAGAGCATACATTGTAAACCATTAGTTGAGGTTTTGGGTTGATAAATTTTTTTTCTACCACTTTTGATCAGTTTCTTAAGTCATACAACTTTCAATATTCACAATTTGATGAGTTAATTACTAGGTTATTATTTGTTAATGTTACCTGTATGACAGAATCTAAGGGAAGAATGCATTCTTGAAATTCAAATGGAAACCTTAAGATTACTTTGGGATATGTCTGGTATATATGTTTTTAATGTAACCTGATTCTATGTCAAAAATTTAGCCATTAATTTTATATTTATGTAACTTAAATCAAGATATTTTATTCTATATAACTTGGATATAATTGTATATTATGGCTGTAACTCTGTTGGAACTTTAGTTTTCAGAGATAGCATTCTTATAGATTTTGCACTTCCCTTTTCATTCTCAAAATCAACCTGATTACTCTAAATCCATCTCTCATTTAAAAATTAACATTCTCTCCAAAATTCCCCTATTTCAATGTAAAAGAGTCATCTTTGCTATCAAGAAATTCCCACTTAACTGGTCAAGACAGAAAGGTAAACAAATTCAGGATGGGGCAGTGGTGAAAACACTATGACAGAGTTTGAACAGAGTACAGAGGACCAACAGAGGACAAGCTGCATAGCTCTCTTGTGGGGACAGCAGCAATACATAAAAATACCTTCAAATAGGAGGTGATGCTGGAGCTCAATTTTAAAGGTTACCATGTTTGCCTGTTGGGCAGCGTGGTAGTCATTGTGAGAAGGGTAAGTACATTAGAACATAGATAGCCAATAACTGTGTAGAAAAAAATAATTGCTGTCATCTTCTATGTTCTTACAGTATTCAATACTTCCAGAACACTTTACTTCTGATGCCAGATGTGGCAGGGTGGGGGCGAGCAGGGAGGTGGTGAGTAGTAGTTCCATACCAACCAATTCTCCAAAACCAGCTGGAGGCCCTGTAACTCAATTTCCTTCTGACACCATCTACCTGGACTTTGTACAGACCCCTCAGGTTAAGGGCTCAGTTCCTCAAAGCTGCACCCTACTTCAGACACAAGTCACAAGTCCACGTTGTCACCAGTTTATCTGACCATCTGACTATGAATCAGATGTTCTCACAACCCACTCCTCAGGTTGATCATTTTGCTAGAATGGCTCACAGAACTCAGGGAAACACTTACCTACATTTACCAGTTTATTATAAAGGATATTACAAAGGATCCAGAAGAATAGCCAGATGAGGAGCCACACAGGGCAGAGTTTGGAAGGGTCCTACATGCAGGAACCCCTCTCCCAATGGGGTTGTGGTGCACCACCCTCTCAGCACATGGATGTGTTCACAAGCCTGGAAGTTTCCCAAACCATCTTTTAGTGGTTTTTATCATCATATAGACATGATTGATTATCAACTCAATCTCCAGCTCCTCTTCCCTTCCTGGAAGATGGGGGTGGGGTTAAAAGTTCTAAACTTCTAATCATGGCTTGGTCTTACTGGTGACAAATCTCCATCCTGAAACTATCCAGTAGGCTGTCAAGAGTTGCTTCATTTAAAAAAAGATGCTCCCATCACCCATAAGATTTTGTAGCTCTGCATCAGGACCTGGGGCCATTGTATTGTGCAATACGGAAGGCAGATTAAATTATTTGAGGCATCTCTAGGAGTAAAATGTTTTTAAAATATGCATTGTAATAAAACTTTGTTCATTATTAGTATAATTAAATAAAGCTTTATAAAACATCTTAGACCTTAAATTAAATCATCAAAGCCCTTAAAGATAAATCTGTTATCTTTTTCACTATTCATTGATTAATTCAATAGAAGGCATAATATTTCACTCATGCATTGTTTCTCCACTTTAAAATATAGTCTTATTTGTATAAACAGAGCCATATTTTTTGATTGACAGTTGTAAATATTTTTAAAATTCATTTTTGAGAATGGCATTTGTCGTGGTTAGGACTACTTCCTTGTCAAGATTCAGCAACTCATCTTGCAAATGATACAGTATTTTTGAAGAGCTTTATCTCATCAAATGTTGTTAAAATGTAAATAAAATAAATAAAATAAAATTTGGATCCATGGGGTGCCTCTAATAGCTTTTCCTCCTTGACAAGGAGCTAATTTGAACTTCAACTAACCAGCTGATTTTTATAAGGTTGCAGAAACTGACAGTTATTTTTCCAGTGATGCTTGCCAGTGTTCTATCTCACTTTAATTCCAGAGTCAGTGGGCAATACCCATATCTATGAATTACATGTTAAAAAGGGATTTATGAATTATGGATGAACTGGGACAGTTATTGGTATTTAAAGGCATCCTACTTCATGTTGAATATTAATAGAAATGAAAGACTGGAGAAATATAGTTACCAAAAGCATTAATATTTCAAAACAGGGTAGCTTCTTGAAGCCATGGGATATTAGAATAAAAGTTAAAAGAAATTATAGTTAATTCGTATAGTGATAATTTCTATAACAATAAAGAATAAAGATGAGAATTCACCATCAAAGGCTTTTTATTATTATTCAATTAGGAAAAGTCTAATCTGGACATTAAATAAAAAAATAGTTAAGTAAAAATTGTGACAGTGCCTATTGTCTCATGGTTTGTTTTTTTTTATGGTAGCTAAAAGGAAGACTATGTGACAATATGCAATGTAATCAGAATGTAATTTAATATTTTAATTCTAAGGGGCCAAGTCACTCATAAGAAAATAGAAAAAATTATCACACAATACTTGTATGATGACACCATCATTATTTCTTTTCTTATTTACACTAGTTAAGTTGATGCAGAGTGAAGGCAACTAGCCCTCTGCCTCTTAAGGATTAAGCTCTTACTTCCTAAATTGGCATAATCACAAAAAGCAAATTAGTCCTTTTAAAAGGCTATAAGGAATTGGATCTTGCTCACCAACTCACAAGAAACTAATAAACCTGCGTATGAATATACAGTCATGGATTACTGTGTAATGAGAAATAGAAAAGAAATACCAAGAAGACTAGATATCTGTGCTGACTGAAAAGCACGTTGTATTCCCAGTAGGAATGTCATGTATTATTTATTCATCAAATGTGTATTGACGTCTGATTTATACCAGACATTGTGCCAGACACTGAGATGAAAAATCAAACAGGGAATAGTCTCCACCGTCAAAGAGCTTATTGACTAGTTGGAAAGACAGCCAAATAAAAATAACAATTATAGCGGTGTGAAGAGAAGACAATTCCAAATCTGAATAGGGATCTGGAAAAGCTTCCCTGAGGGGGTGAAACAAAGTGGGATCAAAAGTAAGTAGAATTAGCTAGTTGAAGAAAAGAATTAGGCAATCCTGTACTCTCTGGTTTCTGTACCTGTGCAATGGCATGGCACTCATTCAAGGCAAGAGATCCCTGCATGATGGGTATGGCTGTGGAGAGCTGTTGCTCAGCTCTCTGGCTATAAATTTCTCTCTGCTCTGGATTCCATCCATCATTATGCAACTGTGTGTGCCACACACTGTACTAGGCACTGGGTATTAAGTAGTGAACAAAATAAAAATCCATAGAGCTTAGAATTGATGTCAAAATACCCTCCGTTGACCCATGTACTTCTTCAAGTACTCTCCCATTTCTTTTATTTTTCTTTCTTTTTCTTTCAGAGTCTCCCTTTGTCTCCCAGGCTGGAGAGCAATGGTGCCATCATGGCTAACTGCAATCTCTGCCTCCTGGGTTCAAGCAATTCTCCTGCCTCAGCCTCCCTACTAGCTGGGATTACAGGTGCCCCCCACCACGCGCAGCTAATTTTTGTGTTTTTAGTAGAGACTGGGTTTGACCATGTTGGCCAAGCTGGTCTCGAACTCCTGACCTTAGATGATCCACCCGCCTCGGCCTCCCAAAGTGCTAGGATTACAAGCGTGCCCAGCCTACTCTTCCATCTCTCCACTAAACTTGTTCATACTTCTACAACCATTTCTACTGTTTCTTCTGTCATTCTTTTCTTATCTACTCAAATCCCTTCACCCTACTCTTGATGTCATAACAATCTCCGTGTGTCAAAACCAGTGGCCATGTCACTATTCTTATCCCATTCAAACTCTCAGCAGAAGGAGGCATATTTACCTACCCCTCCTCTTTAATACTCTTTCTTATTTTGGCTTCAAGGACAGAACATTCGTTTTCTTTTTCCTCCCTGGTTTCTCCTTCTTCATCTACCCTGCTGGTCTTGCTTTGTCCCGTCTTCTAATGTAGTGCTGTTGGTCAATCCTGATTCTCACCCTCTTTTTTCCCTACTTATCCTACTTTTCTTTCTTAGTTCTTCTCTTTTCTGTCCCTGAGGAATGTGTGATCCTCATTTTTGAAACCATCAACTTGGGGACATAGTAAACAATTTAAGAGGAACAATGTCAGGATTAAATTGACATTTCAAAAAGATTATTTCACAATCTCCTAGATGGATTTCTTGGTGTATATGCATGACTAGACAGAGTAAAGATAGTGAAATAATCTTAATCATAAAAAATGGAGATGTAATGGCTAAGTGCTTGGGAATATTCCTACTTGCTGCTCAGGGAACCCTTCTCACTGGAACAAGTGCAAAGTAAACTGAAAAATTATTTTGCTTAGTCTCCTTTCTTCTATATTTTGTACGTTATAGAAACTTTCTGTTTTAAGGAGATTATAACTAATAACTTCATAGCTCACCTTGGTGCACCTATATTCTATAGATCATGACTATCTCCTTGAAGCATCTTAGTCATCCTGGGGTAGGCACAGATATATCATCATCCTATTATAATATTACAAGCCTTTTTATTGAGTGATGATTTCTAAGAATGTTAAACTGATTTTAAAGTGTTATTTTCTAATTTATTTAATAGGTCCTAAGAATATTTTGGAACTTCTCATCACCCTATGCCTGATTATCTAAACTCAATGTACTTGTAACCTAATATTTATTTTGAATCCACCGCATCAATGTGAGGGCATCAGTCCTGGGATGTGGTAGCTTCTGGGTTTTTAGACAGAAGTGTCCTATAAATAGTGCCATCTTTAGTACAAGATAGTATAAAAAGAATAGCAATTTTCTGAACATAGATGACACTGTTCTAAGTGTTCCACTGTATTAATCCACTTAAACTCCATACAAATTCCTGAGAGAAGTTAGTTTCATTATGTCACAGAGCTAGAAAGGCCCACGGTCGATCTCCAGAGCCTGCAGTCTTAATCACCAAACTACACTACAATGGTAGATTTATGGTATGAGAACAGCTCCAAACTTATGCCATTAGAATTGAACACATTGTGGTGGCCTTCTTTTATTATTATTATCACTGATGAGGCTAAATATGTGTCTCAGGCAGCTAGACCTAAGTGACAGAGAAAAAACTGAATAGGGATTTACCCCTTATTTTCCCACCTATCTGAAATTCTGCATAGCTCATAGCATTTTGTCATTCCCTGCACTGGACCATACCCACCTGTTACAATTTAGACACTGGAGAAGGATAAGCAGTCTCGTATTTAGCTATGAAATTACACAAGGTAAAATATTACCAGCTTGGGGTGGACCTTACCAATATGTATAGCTAAAATTGGATCATTCAGCTCCTCCTAATTTAGTGTGCACCAATGAAGGATTTTTATCAATGAATTATTTGCATAATTATTTTATTTCTACTATTTAATATGACTTTATGTAAAGACACATAAAAAAGAGGCACTGAAAGTAGAAACATTAACTTGAGTCAATTACTTGACTATCTCCAATGAGAGAAATATATTTTAGAATAATAAATTAGTTAATTATGGCTTCATCCATATGACCTTCCAACATCTACCATTTTGGAGACGACTGATTTTCTCATCTTTGCAGATAATAAAACTTTTTCCTGGATGAGACTCAAAAGGTGTCCATTTCTTGGATCTCCATCCTCTCAGGTTTTATTTGCAGCATGTCTTGGTTTATTTCCCCTTTCTTGTATTCTCCATTTTGGTTTTCTATTATAATTTGATAAAGTACATGTTAGAATCTCATTGATTATGCTTTCTTACTTGTTATATGTCTTGCTGTAGGGCTCATGTGTTTGTTTTTCAAGCAATAATAATGAGATGATAACTCAGCAGCATGAAGGAAAGAAAATAGTTTTATGTTGCTGCTCATATTTAAATCTTTGGGGCATAGTTTAAAACTGAGCCTTCATGTTTGTTATTGCTACTAGTTTGTGTGTGTTAGCAAGGGGTTGTTTGGATGGGAAGATTAGAGGAAGGATCCAAATCCTGGGGATAAATAAAATGAAATAAGTGGAAAGCACAATCCCATGTTAAAAGAGGGTTTTTGTTTGATTTTTTTAATATAAAAAGGTAACGTTTTCAAGGTAAGATTTGAGGTGAAGTGATTGAGAAAAAAATTCTGCCCCAGTGAGAGAGATGTTTGGGGCTTAAGCCAATATGAACTCTCTCACAAGGTGAGAAGTGGAGCAAGGCAGGAGTTTCCCACCAGAAAGAGGGCAAAACTGAGAAATGATGAGGAATGAGGTCTAGTATTGTACCCTTCTTTCCAGGTGGAGGGGAACTCATCTATTAGGTGGAAAGCAGAATGTGGCTGAGTGGAAACAAGAGAGAGTTAAGAAAGAAATGATGGTCAAGAGAAAAATAATACCATTTTTCTACTTCATCCAACATTAGTTGCCTTAAAATATTAAAAGTTTTTCTTGGCATAATCTATTTCTGTTTAAATAAAGGTTAAATTACATATAAAACAACTAACGAAATAAACCTACAGGATATCTCTATTTAGTAGTGAGAGAGATTAAGGTTCCACTGTGTGGAGCCTTATAACATAGAATATAGCCATGAATACAAAATGATACACAAAGGCCAAAGGAAGCTAGGAGAGGGAAGAGGTAGAGCAGAACTAACATTTATAGAGCACTTGTGTATATTAATCATTGTACTAATTAATACCATTTGTTTGGTTTTATTTTATCCTGACAACATCTCTTTGAGGTTTATTATTATCTTGATTTTTAGATATATTACAACTGGTTTAAGATCATATTTTCTTTAAAAAGATGTAAATGGAATTCTTATTCTAGACTGGCTAATTTTCAAAGATTACATTCTTACTATTCTACTACTCCTTATGGTATTCTTGCTAATATCAAAAAACCATGATTACCCTGTGAATAATTTCACTATTAGAGACTAGTGTTCACAAAACATTTTATATCATGTACCACATGGGTTAAAAATATTTTGAGCATGCTCTTGCATCATATATATACTTAAAATCTACTTTATAAAATATGTATGTGTACAATTCTATAAAAATAAAAAAATACTATGTATATTATGAAATATACATAAAACTTTAAAAGTATGAATTAAAAATAATTGTAATTAGAAGTGCTAATGTTTCCTGCTTGTATCTCAAATGGTTGTCTAGTTCAGCCCACAGGACAAATAGACCCTACCATAGAGAGCACTGTTCTATGTTACCAACACCATCTCCTATAGGGCATGCATATTGGTTACGCAAATATGACAAAAATCTCAGTGTTGATTTTAGCCTCTTCAGCAGGTCATAAAAACTGTGAATCTGTTATGATGATCAGTATTTCTTCTGGTGTGAAATAATTCACAGTTCACTTAGGAACAAGGTTTATTTTTTCTAATGCATTATTGAGAGGAGATTCCCTCTGTAGTATGTTATTTTCTAAGAAATCACAGCAGAGTTGTACACACTACTAAAGTGGAATTTAGCAAAAGATACGATGCACAGGGTATCTATTATTTCTGATTCTTTGATAAACCTTAACTTCCACATCTCAGAAAGAATATTTGTTTTAGGTAATTTGTTATTAGCTATAGTACTTAGGTCATTTTCCTCCCTCTGTCATTTTTTTGATGGTTGTTCATTGTTAGAAGGGGGTGAGAGGTGAAATCAAGTCCAACAGTTCAGTGGACCAGAGATGTGATACGCAGAGACTGAAGCTGTAATTACAGAGTCACTGTGTGGAGCCTTATGAGAGAATGTCCTCACTGTGAAGCCTTCTGTTTTGTCAATACACTTACATCAATACTTGGCAGTCAGTTCTGCTGCTTTAGGGCTTCAGCATACAAAATAGACAAAGTCACTAATATCAAATTTGAGCTACGTTGCATTTGCCGTTGACAAATCTTATTTCAGAAATATGCATGAGCATGAGGATCAGATCAAGCTTTTAACATTTACTTTTTTTTTTTTCTAGCAGGGAAGACTCTCTGATCCTCTCATAATTTACCTATTGTTGATTTCCTGAATCTTTTTAAATCCTTTGCAACTGAAGATGGTCTCTCCATCAGAGAAGCAATTAACCAAATGCCTGACTACAGCGTATATAGCATCTGTTATAAAAGCATAAAAGGTTAACTTAAATCCTGGCACACAAAGGAGATGTCAGACCAGAACAAATCAGCATGGAAATACCTGGAGGAGATACAAGGTTAAGGTGGAGCATATGTACAGTCAAGAGGATGTTCATGACTAGTGGAATGTGTTTTTCAGATTGCAAAGACTGGAAGGTTAGAAATGACATGTCTATTATGAATCAACATAATTCATCTTCTGCAGCTTTTACCTGACAAAAGAAAATGTGCCTTATTCTTCCCTATGCAACTCAAAATCCAAACAAAGAACTATAGACGTGTCAACTTTCATCTCATAGAAATGCTTAGGTATTTTTTAAAGAAAAAGAGAACACTTTTTAAAAGATTATGCATTGCCTGAGTTAAGAGAGTTAAGAAGATAAATAAGAATAGATTTGTTTTATCTTATAGATGAACCTCTTTCAATCAGTTATTATAGGATGGAATAATAAAACATTAAAATACTATACATATAAAACTAATCATTACAAATTAAATGGACTGCACTATTACAATTTTAGATTGAATTATGCGGTAGATTAATAATGATCACAAAGGTTTAATATTCATTCAATTGAGAGAAGAGTTCAAGTTCCTCTTCACTTGAATCTTGGTGAGCTCTGTGAGTGCCTTATGAATATAGCTGCAATAATTCCATGCCAGTTTCTGGGCCACAGCATTAAGAGGCTAATAGCATCCACTTTTTGTCTGTTATGACCCTTGCTCTTAAGGCCCTAAGCTGTAGTATGAGTCCAACTATCCTCCTGAATAAACCACGTGGTGGAGAGGCCCTGAGATTACAAAATAAAATAGTGAGCCCAGTAGAATCCAGCTCTGCCAAGATCCCAAACATGGGAATAAAGCTGTCTTGGATCCAGCAGACCACCTCAGCTATCTATGGCTACTACCAAGTATTCATGTCATGTAATATGGAGCTAATAATTGTCCAGAATGAGCCTGCATTATTTGCTATTTCACAAAATTATAAAATATATTAGAAGGTAGTTATTCCAAACCACTAAATTTTGGGATATTTTCTTAAAGTAGTAGATAGGTAGGCTACTAAATATGACTAATTTCATTACTTTTAGAATTAATTTTAAGAATTAGGATATGTTCAATTTAGGATTAGTAAAGTAAAAAAGCAAATATGATACCTGAAGAAATAGAAACTATAAAATTGTATGACACAGTAACACATTCTTCTGAAGAAGTTCTTAACTTTATGTAATTATATAGATAAATCTATCATAATATTTGTGTTTTTTCACCATCCTGATGGGCGAATCAGGTGTGTCTTTTTAAAGGTACAGGTTCTAAACCATTGTCTCAAACTTTTGTATTTAGAAAACATGCAATGTGACATTACACGTGAATTGCCTGTTACAACTGTCATAGGTATCAGCTGAAATTTTCTATCCTTGTAAATTGAAAGTCCATCACACAGACTGTTAAACCCCTGAATTTCTGCAGTCTTTGTGAAGTTTCTGTGGAAGAATAATGGTGACTTTTCCTTCTCCATTCTTTTCTTTACATCTTCGTTTATAAACTCCTAATTCCAACCAGTTAGTTCATGTTGGATCATCTTACCATTCTTCTGGGGACCATTTCAGACAGATATAAAGTATAGCTTTTTTACTATTATCACTATTTCCCATTGAAATTGTCTACAGAAAGCGTTTTATGTGTTTCAGACTCTAATGAAGGTTTGGTGAGGTAAATATATTATGCCAACTATGCTGCACTCCCAATTTATTTCTCTCCTTCTCCAGGCACCTCCATTCCAGCAAACTCAATTTATTACTTTGTTTTTTAAGAAAGTTCTTCTTTCTACCATTTACTTTTTGTCAGTTGACTTTTTAATATCTAAATATGTATTCATACATATTAATGGACTTTGTTAATCCTAAGACAGTATTGCAAAATTCACCCCCAGTAGGCACAGAGGAACTGACAGAGCTTAGTTTCCATTTTAACCATTTTCCTATCCCATGTGTTTCTGTGAGCGTAGGGAAAATGGGGGAAAGGGCACTTTTGATATACCATTGGTTCTAGAATTGGATTAATAAATCCTGCTCAAGCAAATCCAATATTATATCCTGTATTGAACATTACTAAGGATTTCAAGGATACAGACAATAAGGAGGTTCAGATGAAGAAAAGAGGGCTATGGGACAGGAAGAGCCTTTCCTCTGTTCTTTCCTTCTCACACCAGACACACATCTTTGCCCAGAATAATAGAGGAGATACATAAGTCAGGTTTTTTAGAGTTATTATGTCGCATTGCAGAAAGAGTATTTAAATTATGTATTATAAGCATGAGGAATATTATTTCCATTCTGTACACCAGGGAGTTGTATAGCTTGCATGACATTCTCTAGGAAGCCAAGCCTCCAATCTGTAGATCTTGATTTTATTTACTAAAAATAACCCTCAATCAGAAATATTTTGCTAATGGCATTCTATATAAAAGGACTATTTCTTCTAGAAAATATTATTTTTGTCTTTACCTACAGGTGCAGGTGACAAGGAGATTAAACAAGGTCACTTGTTTTCTTTCCTTCTCTGAAATAAAGAAGGTCAGTCTGGTAATGTGTGTGACTTGATTACAGGCTGGATGCTTTAGTTCCTCTCTCTCTCTCTCTCTCTCTCTCTCTCTCCAAGTGTACATGTATACCTTACTTTATTTTCTGTGGTCCTCTTTCGACTTCATTCACTCAATTTTTACTCACAATAACTCTATTAAGCCTATAAGGCAGGTATAATTGTTTCAACTTTAAAAATAAAGTTATTTGTGGTTTGAGGGATTTCATTGCACTCTTCCAAACTGACACAATTTAACATGCAGTCACAGCATACATTCAATGCACCAGGCATTACTCCGGATACTGGGGATTTAAACAGGGCTGAGACACCACTGGTATGTTCCCGTGACCCTGTATCATTCATTTAAATATTGAAATGTTTCCTTTTAGGCCCTATTTTGGATCCACCTTTAGGGTGGTCAAGCCACTGAGGTTTTACATCTGGCTCAGGTGGCTCACATGATTCTACTGCAACTCTGAAAATAGATTCTGTCCATGCAGTTAAGTAATCGCTTTCATAAATCTTGCCTCCCTGCCACCTTTAATAGGGAATAGCCAATTTACAAGGCTAAGTGGTGCCCTGCCTGAAACTCTCATTCTGGATGTCACTGGGCCACCCTTGCAGCTTCCCTTTGAGCATGCCACAGCTCTACACACGAGCCCCTGGCCAGAGCCAGCCACACCACAACCCTATTACCCGTGCTGGCATATAAGGAGACCACTGTCTCTTGACTATCTGGCTCCATATATCCAGACAGCCTTCCACTGGCTCATGGTTTTTCATTTCCCCTCCTCCATCTTTCAGTTGCTCTTATGTGGTCACTCGTGGAAACTGTAGTTGTTGCAGCTCTTCGTCTCTGAGTTCCAGAGAAAATCCCAGAAGGCAGGGAGGTTTTTTTCCTACTCATAGCCTCAGTCTGAATGGAAACCTCTCAGGATCTGATATGATGTTCTCAGCTGCACAAGCATTTCTGAAACTTGTGTTACACAATTTGGGGAGAATGGTGAGATCTCGATGCATGATTAAGGACATGTCATTCCTAAGATTTGCATTCCACTTTCCGCCAACTGGTTGAAATTTCCCTTTATTTAGTAGTAAATGATCATTAAAATGAACCTAAGGTCTGCTGGATATTTCATTAGCAATATTCATCTTCGTGACTGATTAAAAAGAGAGTTGATGCATATTATAAAGCACTTAATCTGAGGTCTGTTTATAACTTTTTTATTATAACTGTTTATAACTATTTATAATCTGTGGTCTGTTTATAACTATTTTATTAGATATATTTTTAACTAATTTCAGCAATAGATTAACTATAATCATCCCTATTTTACAAATGAGGAAACTGAGGCACTGAGATAGCATCTAAAGCTTACATGGGGGAGTGAGGATTTGATTCCAGGAAGTTAGGCAACGGGATCTGCACTCCTGACATTAATAATATGATACCGCTCCACAAAATACCTCCTCTCATCTGGCCTAACAAAATCGGTTTGCCTTAAAAATTTTTGAAGTTTGGTTGATGATGTATACCACATTATTTCAAAGTCTTTATTCCTCCTTACTTTTTGATATGTGAGTTTCAGTAGTGTCTAGTAGGAGTGGAATATATTTCTCAGCCCTTTTAAAGTTAGACTTAGCAGTGTGACTTGCTTTGGTCAATGAAATGTAGGTGGAGGTGGCAGTGTTATGTTTCCAATAGAGGCCTTTCAGGCATTGCCATTTGCTGCTTTCTTGTGCTGCTCTGTCATTGCAATGAAAATATTTCCTGGGTAACTACTGGTTCCGGAGTAATGTTTGACACATGTAGCAGATCTAAACCTAACCTTTAGCTTGAAGCCAAGCCCAGATAATATGCAGCTCAAAACCAAGGTGCCCAGATGAATTGACTTAGATCAGCCACAGTCATAATGGGACTGCAGAACCAGAAGCAAAAGAGTAAAATGCTTATTTTCGTACAACATTGAGTTTTGGGGTCCTTGGTTTGTAACATTATTGCAGTAAAACATGACAAATACCTTCAATAAAAGATATATTGAATATATTAAAATAGCAGATATTACTATAAGTATAAAATTCTTTATATAATTGCAATTTTTCCACAAAAAACAAATGAAGCTTTGGAGCTATGAATAATATTACTGATATTAAGAGAAATGGAAACTACAAATAACTTAATATCTATCAAATTTGTGAAGAAGTTTTGGAAATTTTTATATTTTTTCTAATGTCAAATCCTAACTATGACAGCCATTTCAAACAAATCTGATACCAACAATTTCTTAAAATCCAAATGTTTTGAAAATAATTAGAATAATGTAATAAAAATTAGTACTATAACTCATATCACTTTGACAGTATTTGGTAATATAGTTTAATTTTATTTAGAAAATGAAAGAGAACACAGTTTTAAAGCTTTTGACTTATATGTATTGTTGACCCTTGAAGAACACTGGTTGGAACTATGTGAGTCACTTATAATTGGAATTTCTTCCTCTTCTGCCACCTCTGAGACAGCAAGACCAACCCCTCCTCTTTCTCGTCCTTCTCAGCTTACTCAACGTGAAGATGATGAGGATGAAAACCCTTATAATGATCCACTTCCACTAATCATATTTACTATTCTATTAATGAATGGTAAATATATTTTTCTTTTGATTTTCTTAATAACATTTTCTTTCCTTTAGCTAACTTTATTGTAAAAATACAGTATACCTATAACATATAAAATATGAGTTAATCCAGTGTTAAAGTTATCCGTAAGGCTTCCAGTCAACAGTAGGCTATTGATAGCTAAGTTAAGTTTTGAGGAAGGCAAAAGTTATCTGCTGATTTCTGACTACATGAGATCTTGGCATCCTAACCACATGTTGTTCAAGGGTCAACTCTAACTTTATATTACCGTACCAAGTTTTACATTCTGGATATTGCCCTTAAATAAAAAGAAAAATGGCAAATGGCCTTTCCTTGCGGGATTTCACCAGATTATTACGAAAAGTAGGTATTTAAGAATAAAGTTAAGGGACAAATGAAAATAATACCAAAGACATTGTATGGAATTAACTCATAAAACATTCCTGAGTTATAAACTAAATTTTCTTATCCTACAATCTGTCTTATCTCAAAAATTTTATGCTACTGAGGCTAGTACGCCATTTTTGTATAAGGCGAAATTTATGAATGAATTACTTACTTTTTTTTGTCTTGTTTTGTTCCCATTATCATGTTTTCCTATCTGATTGGTGAGACTGAATGGAATTGTTTTTTGGAGTTTGAAGATTATAAAATTTGGAGATTCTCATTAAGGAAAAAAACAAATTTATTAATGTAAAATTAGTTTTGAAAGTGAATATTTTAAAAAAGAAAAGTTATAACAAATTAGGCTTAGAGTTTCTGATCCCTTAGGCAATCTATCATGAATGCTTAAATAGAAGAGCTTGCCAATTGTACCCTGCACAGCGCAGGGTGCAATTTATATTTATTTTCAAATAAATATATTTGAAAATAGCCACAAAATGTTCCCTCTCTCAGGTGCTATGCAAGGTGGGGAAGGGAGGACTAGCTTCATAGTACATTTATCTCTATTTATTGGTGACATTTTTCTTAATCTCCACTTAATTTCTGTACTCTCTTTTTTTTTTTTTTTTTTTTTTTTTTTTGAGACGGAGTCTCGCTCTGTCGCCCAGGCCGGACTGCGGACTGCAGTGGCGCAATCTCGGCTCACTACAAGCTCCGCTTCCCGGGTTCACGCCATTCTCCTGCCTCAGCCTCCCGAGTAGCTGGGACTACAGGCGCCTGCCACCGCGCCAGGCTAATTTTTTGTATTTTTAGTAGAGACGGGGTTTCACCTTGTTAGCCAGGATGGTCTCGATCTCCTGACCTCATGATCCACCCGCCTCGGCCTCCCAAAGTGCTGGGATTACAGGCGTGAGCCACCGCGCCCGGCCTCTCTTTTTAAAAAATTTTCACAATTTGTTTTTTACTTGTCTTATATTCATTATGCAACTTTCTAATAAGTTTATTAAATGCACTAAGTATAATAATCAATGCTATATTCAAAGGTACATCTGACATACCTCCTGCCCTCAAGAAATTTATAGCCTAAGAGAAACTTCCTTGGAAGTTAACAATTAAAAAATAATGAAGTAGTACTGTAGTTGACATTTTCTGTAAATATTAGAACTAGAAAACAAAGAAAAGAGTAGAAAATTATGCCTAAGATTAAAGCAGAGACTTTGTGGAGGTGAAAAAGCTTGGGTTGAATTGTGAAAGATGAGAAAGTTGTCACTAAGAAGAAAAGAGTAGGAAGGGCATTTTTAAGTGGAGCCACGGCCCAGGAGTAAAGGTGTGATCAAAAGCACAGAAGCTCAACAGTTTTGGACACTGATTAAAAGGAATCATTAGCTAGCATGACTGGAATGAAGTATATTAAAAGGGTCATGGATCTTATGATAGAAAAATTTGATGCCAGTCTAGGAGCCTAAACCTACTGCATAGGAACTATGAATGCAGTCTATTGCAGAAGGAGGCCAGATATGGCTCTATTTCAGAAAGACAATTCTGGCACTGATGTGCAGAGAAAATCTGTGAGATGAGATTTGAAAGAGATGAAGTGGAAAGACCGATTAGGAGACTGTTTTGATCCTAGCCAGTTTTCACAGTGCTGCTTGACTTATGAAAATGGAACCTTTAAAGTAAAGAGAGTCAGTTTGCTAGAAGATAGAGTTCTTTGAAAGTAATATCAAATGGTTTTTAAAACTATTCATTGATTCTAAATGAAACAAAATCACCTTTATTTTATCTTTTGATTAATGTTCAAAAGTGATAGAAAACTACTAATAAGCAAAACCTAAGTATGAAAAAGTTATTCATTCTAATGCTTTTTTTCTGAAAAAAAAGATTTTTATTTAGAAACTGATCGCACTCAATATTCATAAGGCTTAAATGATTGAGAAAACATGGCCAGATTGAAAGATTAGATTGTCTTCCAGTTGTTCAATGTACCCTGAGTTGATTTTTATCCTTCCCACCAAGTAACCAAGTGATGAAAAGGATGAAATGTCAACAGGAGAGAGGAGGATGGGGGAAGTATAGGGGTGAAGAATTATAGGTGGATGGAAGCTCAATAGAAACATCTAAGACAAGAGCATGGGGGTGGTTCAATATCTTGAATAAAAGGGATAATAGATTGTTGGGGAGGGATATGAAACATCAAAAGAGCAGAGGAATATTATAGTGGAATAATGCTGAAAAAGGCAAAAAGCTACATCATTTAAAAAGTGGGAGAAAAATCAATAGCCTTTTTATGTTGAATGACTGAAATATATGACTGGAAAGATCAGGTTGCACATGATTTCTATTGACATACTTTTTAAACATATATTCAATATAAATTTATTATCTTTTAGTCCTTTTAAATGATATCAATCTACCCAGGGAAACAATTGCTTGAAGTAATGAGCTGTACTGAGAGTTACTGGACCAATGTCTGATTAATCAAAACAATGTCCCATTCCCATCCTCTTTGATTTCTGGTTTATCACAAATCACATCTCAAAACATTTGCCTCAATAGTATATACTGGCTCTGTATAACTCACTCTGTTATGAGTGATATGCACTCTGCACATATATGAGGATATGCACTGTGATAAATTTTGTGCATGTCCTCTTACTTGACCTTAGAAAAGCTTATAGCATTTAATCTTTAGCCTCACCTACATTCTGTTCTACTGGGCTAACTAGATAGGCCTCCCTTTCAGGCAAGGTTAGCAAATATAATTCATAAATAGAGGGGAGCTTATTATAGTGGGTAAAAAGGTAAGAGAAAGACATAAAAATTTTCAGGAAGAAAGAACCAGAAAGACAGAAATTTTCAGGAAGAAAGAACAAGCAAGATAGTTCTTGCACACAAAATAACTTGCGCTCGAGTGAAAGATATGCATAACTAACACTAGACAGTGCAAACATGGCCAAAAGCCTGGGGGGAAATGAGTGTTTGCTGAACTGTGATCTAGAATGTTGATTTTTTGGTAAAAGGGGCTGCTTTTATGTCTCAGAGGCAGAGGACACCTTTTCTCAAGCTTGGAAACAAAAAAGAGAATTGGGTGGGGAGGGTGACATTTAAGTGTCGTTCCAGCAGTGTGTTGTAAGTGGAACATAATCTTCAGTATAAAGGAAGAGGTGAGCTTGGTGTTCATTTTCTCTCATACAGCAAGATATTAGAGTGTGTTGTGGTGTCACGGCACAGCAGGGGTTTTCATTGATTTCAAGTTCTTCATCTTATACTGTGACTTTAGGCAAACTGTTCTGAGTCTCTGATTTTTTTCGTCTAAGAAAATAAATATTTAATAATTAGTAGAATAAAATGTGATGAGATAATGTATGCTAGCATGTGGGAAGGATGCATAAATTAAAAAGTAGGCCTTATCTTTCCATAAAAATAATATGTTTACAAATATATGTTGTATTCATTCTTTATACAAAGATAAAATTTTATCAAAATTATAAGTCAAAATTAAGAGAAACAGATTATATTATATATCCTTTAGGCCATTGTAGGCTTATATTATGCCTAATATGATTCCATTTAAGCATAGACATGATGCTAATTTGTATGGCAGACTGTATGGGGTTCAGGGTAGTGAAACTTTATTTAAAATGCCATGTGTATTATGTTAAATATTTTATCCTACTCCACTTCAACTAAGGCCATTGATACTTATTATGCATTTTTGTGTGACATTTTGGAGGTCATATTTCTTGAAGTTTTCTTTAAGGCAAGACTTAATGTTTATCCTTGGTAGTCAATACCTAATATTTATCCTTGTCTTTTGCACAGAAGTGGCCGTATCACACAATTTCGACCCATGGGATATAAATGGAAGTCGACTGTGATTTTTCCCAGTCATTGCTTTCTGTTAATGAGATCTGTTTTATTTCTCTTTTCTTTTTTCGTCCTACTAAAAATGCATGTGATTGTCATAGCTGAAACAGCCTTGTTACTTCGAAGAGAAAACTAGCAAACATAGTAGCTAGGCCATGTGATACTGCTGAACTAGTGTCCGTACCACCTGCTCAGGACCTCTTGCAATGGGAGATGAAATTTGTTTAACTACTGTGATCAGCTCTTTGATTATTGGAAGAAAAGGCATTCCTAAGTGACACAGAACTAAACTTAGTGTTCTAAGTATTTTGGCAGATCTTGTGTTACTGTTCATTCTGAATCCTGATACATCATATTCACTTAGAAAGACAAATATTGGGTTTCTTTTTTTGATAGCCTAATCCATTTCTGATTGCCCAGTTCATTTTCTTTTCTTGGTCTATCTGACCATTTGAATATGAACAGTGTCCTGATAAATGCTGAGACTGTATACAAAAGTTCTCTTTCTCACTGTCTTCCTCTCACCGTTACTCTTCATTGCTCTGTAAGATACATGAACCAAAATCAATGTTAAGTTATTTTGAGATAGACTTTCCCCAAATTCTATCTCATCTTCACTGAAAGATCCTTCTATAAATACAGCCAAGTTATACTTTTCTTCAAAAAACCTGATACTTCACAGTAGCAAAAGACTGAGATATTTTAATGTTAGAGAAAGATTGGAAGTCTGTATTATATGGTATCCTGAAAGCAACAGATTTCAAAATATGTACCCTGTTGAACTGAGGATATAGAGCAGAGAGAATACTGAGAACCTTGCTCTTTCAGGTTTAGAAGTCTCAGTATTCATTATGCTTTTCCTAAAAAGTTAGTTAAATTAAGGCTTATTTTATGCAGATACTTAGATCATGACATAGGCCTGTGTTGTCTACTTTTCATAGCATTCATTAAAATCCCAGAGGAAAGGGACAAATTTATGCTGAAGGTGAAGAGAATTGAGCTTTATGTCTGAAAGAAGAAAATGAACAAATTATAACTTTGTTAAATGCCAAGAGAGACACAATTTTATGCCTCAAGAGTTAATGTGATCAGGGTCTGTGTTGGGGGTGTTAGCAGGAGATATGATTTAACATAGCATTATCTCCCTTAATGTGAGCCCACCTGCAAGCATTCCTGTTAAGCTGTCCCTGGCTGAAGAAGACTTCTCTCATTGTGAAGACTGAACTGATACAAAGCAAGGTGCAAGGGGAAGATAATCATTCCCTTCTCATTCAGAGCTAGTAGAGTCCACTTCAGTACAGAGGCCATTAAAATGATAGCAGAGGTAAAGAAGTACAATGCCAAGAGCCAGATACCCCTAGATTCAACGAGACTCTAGGCAATATATCTGGCTGTGGAAATGAGGTAAAGAAAATATACTGAGAGCTAAACAGGGTATTTTAGAAGAGTTTCTGCTAAAGATATAGCCTAGTTGAAAATTTCTATGACTGTTAAATCCTAAAGCAATACCCAGACTACAAAATTTATACCACAGGAGGAGAGTTGACAAAACTGAACATTTCCCAAAGAGATAAACTCCTATATTGCCAATTACAGGTCTTACTACAGAGGACAATGAACAAGGGAGATCCTACTGCAGGGCTGGATCCGAGGTCAGCAATTTGGCTGCCTAAAGAATCCCACCTCTGCCAAGGTATCATGGCCCAACAAGGTGTAGATGTACTAGGCAAATGGCTACTGTGCTGTTGCCCATATCCCATTTTTCAAATGAAAGCTTTTATAATATTTATTCTAATTGCCCCACTGTTACATATTATATAGGGTTGAGGTAATTTGTATTTCATCCACAGGATGCTGGGCCATGAATAGGAATTCTGTGATTCAAGGATATTATAACTTTTCAAGTTGACATTTGACCATGAAAACAACACGCAATTGTGCTTAAGCAGGCAAGAATCTTCAAGATCTTCTTTTGTAAAATGATCTTCTTTTTTCATGATGGCGAAAACCAGTCAACCAAGAGATAAAACAAAATATATAAAACTCAGAGAAATTTTATTGAAAGTGAGGAATTTTCTGAGCATTGGAATATTTAAATAAAGAACATACATATGAACGACAGCTGGGGTTAGTTATATAAAGGCTGTAAAACCTAGATAGAATGAAAACGATAACATAAAAATAAAATGGCAATGAGGATAGAAGAAATCTGTGGAAATCTAAGAAGAATTTCCTCATCCTTTAAAGTGGATCATTAAGGACAGTTATTATGTACATAGTATATCCAATGCCTTCATATTTTATTTCATTATATTTCCACTTTGTTGAGTTATAACTTACAAATAAAAATTATATATATTTAAGGTGTACAACATGATGATTTATATGTGTATACATTGTGAAATGATTACCACAGTCAAATTAATTATCACATCCATTACCTCACACAGTTACCATTTGTGTATATGTGGTGTGGACACTTAAGAACTACTCTCTTAAGAAATTTCGAGTAAATAATATAATACTAACTACAGTCACCATGCTGTACATTAGATTCTCAGAGCTTATTCATTTTATAACTGAAAGTTTATCTTGATATTTTAAATAATCTTTCCTTGTAACATTTCAAGAACAGTGCAATATCAAATATCTATGTTAAAGAAACATTAACTTTGTATTCTTACATCCTCATGATATAAATATGCTTAGACATTTGTATGATTTATTACCTATTAGGACATAATATGAAATTGAGACTTAACCCTGGGAAAGATATAACCACTGGATGATTTGAAGTAGGAAGCAATTATTCTGGCAGTGGTGGTTGTGGTGGGTGGATTGTAGTATGATCAAAAATAAATTAGAAAGTTAAGCTTGGTAATAATTAAGGAAATATTAGATGTGAGGGTGGTGAGATTTAGGATATACATTGAAGAAAGAGCCCATAGCTGTCAAGTATGAAGGAAAGAGAACTAGGACTAGCTCCTTATTTTTTTTTTTCTGAAGAATTGTGTGCCTCTTACTGAGATATTAGCATTGAATGCTGATATTTACGAAGCACTTAATACAAATATATACAGACTCATTTGAATTTCAAATGACTCAAATTAACACTATTGAATAGCATTGTTATTATTCCCATTTTCCAGATAGAAAACTGAGGAATAGATAAGTTAATAACTATCCAGTATATCATGTAACCAGTAGTAAGTAGCACAGCCAGGAATTGAACATTTGTAATTTCTTAACAATCATGCTTTTAAATAGAATTGTATAAATGGAGAAGACTATGGAAATAAAAGTTCAAGTATTATGGTAATGCTTATATGTCTATTGAACATGCAAAGGGCAAGGACTTCAATCTTCTAATATGATCAGGAGATGGTCATAAAAATTAATTAGAAAATATTTATATATTAAAATTTGATATAGGCTGCTTATAGCAGAATAGACTTATGTGTAACTTATTTGGCCTCCTTTTGTTTACCATTTAGCCCCTTGTTAGTGTCTCCAATAGATCAAATCATGCAATGAAAGTGTATTTTTTTTAATCCAAGTGAAGAAACTGAATAAACAGTGCATTATCTCAGGCCATATCACTCTCAAGGAAAGGGGAGATTCTTGTGTGTTTTGGACCTTTTGTCATAATTTGGTTATATCAATAATTACAATTCATACTTTTATATAGTATTTTACTTTGCTTTACTAAGCACATTCTTATACTTTATATCAGTTTGATTTTAAGTCTCACATTAACTCTACGATGAATATAGTACAGACATTATTATTCTGCCTTCAGAAGTGAATCTACTTGTCCTCAAATAGGTTAAGTGACTTGTTCAATATCAACCTGAAAATCAGTGGCAGAAATGGGATTGTAACTAGAGTTTCTTTAGTTCATACTGTCGTTCATTCCAAGGACTTTAGATATAACATTAGAATTGAGAGTTCTGTCTGAATCTAATATGTCCATGTGGCAGCAGTACGATTACATGTAATTTAAATGTGCTATGGAGTATTCTGAGTGAAAAGAAATGATTAAGTATGCAGAGCCTAGGTTTGATCCCAAACCCTATGAATCTCGTAGCCTTGGAGTGGCCTGGACTGTGGGCAAACATTCAACTTATTTTAGCCTGCTTTAAACTTAAGCCAGTGGTTCTCACAATTTCTTTCCAGTAATGCATCACATTTGTACTCATGCCATTTGCATGACCATATTCAGATTTTAAAGTTCACTCATTGTGGTTGAGGATTTTATTTTTTTAAATTTTACTGATACATAATAGTTGTACAGATTTATAGAGTACCTGTGATATTTTGACATATGGATACAATATGTAATTATCAAATCAGGGTAATTGGAATATCCACCACCTCAAACATTCATCATTTATTCATTTCTTTCTGTTAATAATATTTTTTCTCTCTCTCTCTCTTTATTTTTTGTAGGGAGGAGTTCTTGCTCTGTCACCTAGTCTGGAATGCAAGGGCACAATCATAGCTCACTGCAGCCTCATACTCCTGGACTCAAATGATCCTCCTGCCTCACCCTCCTGAGTAGTTGGGACTACAGGCATGTGCCACCATGCCTGGCTAATTTATTTTTATTTATTTTTATTTTTTTAGAGATGAGGTCTTTTTATATTGCCCAGGCTGGTCTCAAACTGGCCTCAAGCTATCCTACTGCCTCAGCCTCCCGAGTAGGTGGGAATATTCTAAATATTTTCTTCCAGCTATTTTGAAATATACAATAAATTATTGTTATTAATAGTTGCCCTACCATGCTAGCAAACACTAGAACTTATTTCCTTTATCTAACTGTATTTTTGTGCCCATTAACCAACCTGTCTTCATCCCCTAATACTCTGTACTCTTCCCAGACTCTGTTGCTCTAATTCTTAAGCCTGTTTCCTCTTTTGATAAACCTAAACGCTCAAGGCTTTCTTAAAGACAGGACTTTTCTCCCTCTGATCCTGGAAATTATGAAAAGAGCTGCCACTAAACCTCCCACTGGAAATCACTGACCCATGCTACATGCAGACTTCCTTTGCATCTGGGCTCACAACATATTCCTATTTCTTTCATCTTAACATGGCAATGGTGAGAAGAGGCAAGGAATAAAAACCTAAAGGAGAAAAGAGACAAGTAAAATAATAGATTTTCTCCAAAACTTACCAAAGAGATGACTAAACCCATTGATTTCACCTGTAAGCATCCCCAAGATAAAGATCTCTTCCAAGCTGCAGACAGCTTTTTTCTCCTTGCACACCGATTTCAGGGTCCTTGCACACTGATTTCAGGGAATTTGTAATTCAAAAGAGAATTAAACACTTTTGAAGCAGGATACCAAAATAAAAAATGTAAAGAGAAAGCAGGCTACATGGAGGAAAGCACATTTAATGCTGATAATTAGCATCTAAAAACTGGATACCTTAGTTCCTTGACATCAAGTTTTCTGCTTGACCCAAATGATAACTTGTTCTCCTAGGGGTTGAAGTAGATTAGAGCAAGAAAGTTGTAAAATTAACAGTGGTAAAAACAGAGACATTGCAAACAATGTTCTCTTTGCTTTTTAATGAAAACATTCTAAGCATTTAAATGGTTAAAAAAATGCTAGTTATAAGCATGTCTTCCTTTATAGCTTATGTCTTTCCTTGGGGCATATTCTGTTCATTTTGCTTACTTGTTCTCTGGTCTGCAGTTTTATACAACAATTCACCACAGAGATCCCTGGGTTAAGTAGTGAGGGAAATCATTCTACCTTAAGCATGTTAAGTTTGGATGAAGGCACAGAAATCTAGAAGAAATCGAAACTTACAATTGTGCTTAATTGGCTTTAACCCTTCAACATATTGTGTAGAAGTACATTGGGTAATAACATATACTGTTTCACTGTGCATACGTTAAAATGTGAAATCCTTTAAATGCAAACAGCACTTGTCACTCCATCAACTATTCAAATTGTCAGAGATGTATCAACTAACCCTAGCTACCCTCTGCAGGCGATCTGGAGCCAGCCTGCTGTTTAATAACCAGCATTTAACAAGAAATAACATGTAGATGTGGTGTGTGGTTTAAAACATTGTGTTAAGCATCATTAAAACTCAGTCTCCTAAGAGCCTTATTAAGAGTCCTTTCCTCACCATAATAAAACATTTCTCTGTGACTGTTTCGATCTAGTTGCTAACAATACAAACAAAATGCCTCTTAATTTAACATCCCACTAGAGGGCCATTGTGATTGTAGAACTGTAAAGGCAGGGAGAAAAAAAAAACCTAAACCACCCTTCCCAAGTCCCACCTAAAATCAGTGAAACGGAAGCACTGGGAGCCGTTGATTTTAGGATTTATTTTTACAGTTTTTTCCCCTTTCCTTTCACTCGGTGTGTGGTTATTATTTGGGGCTGTGTCTTTGTTCAGTACTATTATGGAAGTTTGCCGATGACTTAGAAATGGGCCCTGCCTCACGGAGTCAGCAATACCAGTTGTTGGATGGGCTGGTGCTGTTCCCAAGACAATGCGTACATGAAACTTCTATAAAAATTCATGTGATCTTGATGCTAACATTTATTTGAAAAGAAAATGAAATTTGCTTACCCTACAATTAGCCTGAAGTTCTCTCATCCTGTTATTACACAAGAAAATACATGCATAATTGTGTCAATTAATAGAGATAGTAATTCAAATCTTCTGTGACAGAAACACAGAACAATCCAATTCTGTTTCAGATCTTCCTCCTTTGAAAATGTGTATGCCAGTTTTCTTGGCACAACTATCCTCACTGCTGTATAGACAGTTACAGAGTTAACAAAATCGACAAACCACAAAAATATTTTGATAGAGGATGCTAACAAATTAGATTTAGGGGAATCTCATTCTAATATTTCAATCTATTGAATAGTTCTGCTAAGCCTGCAATATGTAAAGTGAGTCAAGTGAAAATATTTTAAGTGACCAGTTGATTGAACTTGACCTTTGCTTTCTTTTGAAATGGACCACCAAGAAAGAAGAAAGTATTTTATCTCATTTTTAGTTAATCTTGCCCATGAGATTGCGACAATATGTCATGCATGCATCTATTTTCATTCATGCTGTTTTTATACAAATGCTGAAAGGAGGAAGTATTTGTACCCCAGTTTGTCAAAACTCCCCTAAATATGGAATAACTCTCAAAGGTTTGTTAAATTCATAGTATTTGCCACTAAAATATATTGAGGTTCAGGAATATAGTGTTTGATGTTCCACAAAACATATGAAATCACACTTTTTAGTTAATGGAAGATGATTTGCCTTTAGATTAAATTTGAATGGTTGAAAATATTTGGTATTCCTCACAAACATCAAAGTTGTCTCTTGTTAAAATAGGCACTTGATTTTATGCTGTTTTAGTAATATGAGCTATAAATATTATTCTTAATATGAGTTGGTAGGCCGTATAAACTAATGAGATCACTCTTGTAAATTTTCTCTAGAAACATTTGGGTTGAACCATATCAAATTTCCATTTTGTAGTTCAAAAATGGTCAACAATCAGCAATTTCATATGATTCAACTGTCTCTCCTTGAGATTAAAGCGGATTTCAAATTCACTTTAATAATGGTTTCTCTCGACACAAGGACCATGGTTCAAACAGCCTTTCCTCATGAAAGGATGACTAACACATGTATATTTCTGTAACACATTCTTCCTTAAAAATCAGAGGAGAAGACCCACAAAACCTTTGTTAGTGAACTAAGCATTTCTTCAAACAAGTTCTATTTGAAAGTGCATGTTGATGGTGAAGGACAAACGCAATTGAAGATTGAATTACTTACCTGTAAAGGTGACATCTCAAAATAGTGCCTAATGTTTATTAGGGGAGACTGATGTATTTTTTCTCTCTATCTTATCTCTCAATAGGTAAGACTGTGAAGGTACTACCTTTTCACCACATTAAAATTCACTCTGGGCCCAGTAAAATCTGCCAGTTGATTCCCAAGAGGCCCTCTGGGGACAGAGCCATTAGTGAAATGCACAATGTAATTAGACTGTAGACTGTGAAATTTATTCACAGTTGTATGATATGAGATTTTTACCTGCACTCAACTGTGGTTTTTCTTTTGAAATCCCTCCATATCATGTTTTTCTGCAGCATTTTTCTTCCATGCCTCTTCTCAAGGCATGTGTTTCAGCAATTTAGAGAAGTTACACAATATTCTATTTCAATAGAAAGTATGTCATCTAAAGTTAGCCCATAATAAAGGTCTTATGGAATTCACAGATTTAATATAAATGAGGTCATTATGTTTTAACTCTTATAAACAAAATTTCAAATAGGGTTTATGATAATTTTCCAGAAATGGAGAATCTCACAAAATAACTTGCTGTGTTCCAATGTATTGATGTGCAATAAAACAAATTAAATGCTAAATGTGAATTTCCATTCATTTAAAACCGAATTTTTTTTAATGCTTCCTCTCAGGCTATACTGGTTATTGTGGATCCAAAAATCCTAGGACACAGACTTTGCCCTCAAATTATTTACTGCATAGTGGGTGGCCTGAAAAGCAAACATAAGCACTAAATATGGAAAAATGCAAAAGGCAATGGGACCATAAAAGGAACAGGTTTGTTTACAGAGAAAATTCCTTTTACTTGTTGAGACTTGAATAATAGGAAAATATCTTCCAGGCAAAAGAGACCAAATAAATAACAAACCCACAATTACAGAACCTTGAAGAAACTTGGAATGTTTGAGTACTACAGTTCAGATTGTTGAAGAATTAAGTGCCACAGAGGGAAGAATTGAGGGTAAAGAGCTGGCTGAGTAGTGAGGTCTAGATCTTATAGGGCAGTGCATGCCATGAAAATAAATACAAATTTCACTCTTCATAGAAGTGCAAGGCAATTCAAGAATTTTGAGCAGTTGAGGAATATAGTACATTTAATTGTAAGTTTGATTTCTCTGATGGCAGTGTGGATAAATAACTTGAACAGGGGTGAGACTGAGGGGTGAGGTGTGACTCCAATAGCCCAGTAAAGAGATGATAAATGTCGAAACCAGTGCACCTGAAGTCTGATGGAAGCAGAAGCATGGATAGGAAAGAGATTTAGAAAATGGAGTTGACTGGACTTAACTGATTGAATATGAAATGCTAGGTAAAAAGAAAAAAGGATTTAGGATGATGTCTGGTAAGACCCTCACATTTCTTTCAATTCTCATCTATATGCTGGGGGCCATTTAATTATTTCTTCAGCCCATTCCTCTAAATTTGCCATTTTCATTTCTAATATCTACTTCAGCACATTGTGCCCCATGGTTCTCTTGCTGCCAGAGGTGCTCCCCTTTGGATGTACCTTACACACGCCATCATCATTTGCCTTAGCTCCAGCTATAAACCTGTTTTTCAGGCTTAAATATCATTCTTCTTTATTTCCCATATCCAATAACTATGTAGCTCTGTACATTTTTCTTAAAAATATTTCTCAAATCTACTACTTTTTATTCCCACTCCCAAAAATTCTTGTGAAATATCATTTTAACTAATCTCCCAGTCTTGCCTTCCTTCTCTCCTGCTCTCCAATTCACACTTCACAGTGAAACTAAAAAATGTTTCAATACTTAACTAGACACACCTGAAATCGTTAATCATGGTTTTTAAACTTTGATCTCTGCCACCTTCTCAAACCAAATCTCACACCAGTGACTCTGCCCTCCATACAAGTAATTTCTTTAATTTGGGTGTACTGGTCTCTCTTCTTGCTTCAGCAACTTCACCATGTGCTTTTCTCACTTTCCGAAATGCTCTTTCTCTTCTCCCACCTCTTAACACAAATAACTGTAATGTTTCTGAAGCCAGCTTAGGTATCACTTCCTTAGGGAAGTGTTTGTGATCACTCCAGACTACAGTAATACCCTAGTCATAAGTTTACATCATGCTCTAAATCATGTTGTTGTATCACTGAATAAATACTCTTAACAGGGAATAATGTGAGACTATAAAGTTGGAGTGTTATGTTTCTGCAGTGGGATGGTCATAGGTGAAAGGAAAAAGTTGAATGGAGGGAAAGGTAATTAGAACTTAAGAGGTCCAGGATCTGTGAGGTTGGTTTGTTACATGTGTCAAATACAAGGAAATTAAAGAACTGCAAGATAATAGCAAGCCCTGAAGGCGTGACCAATAGGGTAAACTAGGTACAAAACTCTGTAATGAATGCGTAGGAATTCAATGGAGAGGAACATTAGACTAATTATGAGGACATTAAAGAAGAAATTTTTTTAATGTGTTGTCCTTGGCTGCTTAATTTTTTTATTTCAATAGGTTTTTGGGGAACAGGTGGTGTTTGGTTACATGAATAAATTCTTTATTGGTGATTTCTGAGATTTTGGTGCACCCATCACCCAAGCAGTGTACACTGTACCCAATGTGTAGTCTTTTACCCTCTCCACCCCCTACCTTTCCCTGAGTCCCCAAAGTCCAATGTATCATTCTTATGCCTTTGTGCCCTCATAGCCTAGATCTCACACATGAGTGAGAACACACAGTGTTTGGTTTTCCATTCTTGAGTTACTTCACTTAGAATAATAGTCTCCAATTTCTTCCAGTTGCTGCAAATCTGCAAATGCCATTATTTCATTCCTTTTTATGGCTGAGTAGTATTCCATTATATATACACACACATACCACATTTTCTTTATTCACTTGTTAATTGCTGGACATTTGGACTGGTTCCATATTTTTGTGTGCAGGTATCTTTTTCATATAATGACTTCTTTTCCTCTGGGTAGATACCCAGTAATGGGATTGCTGGATCAAATGATAGATCTACTTTTAGTTCTTCAAGGAATCTCCACACTGTTTCCAAAGTGGTTGTTTACATTCCCACCAACAGTGTAAATTGTTCCCTTTTCACTGCATCCATGCCAACATCTGTTATTTTTTGATTTTTTGATTATGTCCATTCTTGGAGGAGTAAGGTGTTATCACATTGTGGTTTTGATTTGCATTAGAAGGAATGAATTTTGAAGAAGTGTGTGATGCAATGAGCTAGAAACAGCAATAAACTGCCACTAGGAAGAAGATATGGTATTGACTTCTGAATATAGAAAGAGAGTTCAAATTAAGATGGAGAAATAAACCAAGGAGCTAGATGTATGGACAAAGGCTGAAATGAAAGTAATATAGAAGAAAGATATTAAGAGAGAGTTATACCTGGTGAATGGCAATAGATGACAGGAGAACAAAGGGAATTTCTCAATTCAAAGTTTCTGAATAGAATTTAGTTTAAAATTACTCTGATAAAAGCATTGACACAACCTTCCATGTAGGTGGATACGTAGCAATTATCACCTGCTGATGAATCTCAATTGCATTAAAAGGATGAAAGTTAAGTAAGTCTCTATGTCTAAAAAGTAGGAAGTGAGGATACTGTGATGCTTATGATCAGTTAGAGGAGAAGTCCACAAACCATAGACTGTGAGCCAAATCTTGTCCTATGGCTGTTTTTGTGAGAACCATGAATTAAGAATAGTTTTATATTTTTATATGGTTGAAAAAATATCAAAAGAAGAATACTTATTTATATTCACTGTTTTGACAATAGCCATGCACTGACTGTTCTAAACTTTTGCATTTGTTAACTCACTTAAGCCTTACCATGAACCTGTGAAGTAGATACTATCAGTAATTTTTAGATGAAAAAACTGAGACTTCTATATAGGTTAAGTAAGTAGTCAAAGATTACAAGTCAGTCAGCTGGAACTGAAACCCAAGGAGGGTTCCACAGAAGCTATGGTTTTAACTTGCTTTCTTACGTGAAAGAAAGATTGTGATGGCAATCTATTAAGTTTGAACAAGAGAGAAGCAGGAAACATATTCTGATATAATTCAGAATGAAGAGCACTTGCTTTATCGAAGCAAGGAAAGACTTTGTAGAATGAGACCATGATTCTACCATGATGATAGGGAATTAACTTTAAATCCTAATTAATCAAAAATGTTATCTTCCCCCCAAAAGAATTCTATTATAATTAGTAGGTGTGTATTACAGAAATTATACTCAATTTTTATTATTATTATATTTTGAATTTTTTCAATTAAAATTTTGTGGATATCTGTTTTTATTTTTTTGTTATGTAAGTACCTAGAGTTTTCTGAATTTTGTCTCTTGACCTGCAAAGTCTAAAATCTAACATAGTTAGTAACTAGCCCTTTATAGAAAAAGTTTAATTACTCCTGTGGTATGGTTTGGCTGTGTCCCCACCCAAATCTCATTTTGAATTCCTATGTGTTGTGGGAGGGACCCAACGGGAGGTAATTGAATCGTGGGGGCAGGTCTTTCCTGTTCTGTTTTCGTGATACTGAACAAGTCTCAGAAGATCTGATGGTCTTATAAGAGGCAGTTTCCCTACACAAATTCTTTCTCTTTGCCTGTCACCATCCACGTAAGATGTGATTTGCACCTCCTTGCTTCCCACCATAATTGTGAGGCCTCCCCAGCCATGTGGAACTGTAAGTCCATTAAACCTCTTTGTTTTGTAAATTGCCCAGTCTCTGGTACATCTTTATTGCCAGCATGAAAATGGACTAAAACACTCTGGCTTAGGGTAATAACCTGCAAGTTACTCATTCCAATTGAAAAATGAGATAAGCATGAATTATATAAAGTCATGTCTACCATTAATATTTGATAAGACCATTAAGCATTTTTGCATCATATCATGCTTAGATTTCTCTTACCAAAGTCTTTGATCCATTTTTCAATCACTTCCATTTTCTTACTAACTAAAGACACCAAACTAGAATGTCTCTTAGTGCAGGGAGTTTGCTTTCTCCATAGGGGATATGGCCATTGGGAAGTACATCTGTTCTTGCTGTTTGAGGTTTCTTTGTTAGCTTATTCCTCCCGCACAACCAGTATCAATTGTCCCCTGTGCATATACTCACTTCATTTCTGCCAAATTTTGCCAGATGTTAGTTGCGTTACTGAGACAAGAAGATGGCCAATATCCAAAGTCCCAGATCAGGTATCTCCTGCCAATGCTCACCTTAATTTCTAGGGGATACAGGTATACAGAAAATCCCCCTATATAGCAACTCACAGTGACAATTTCAGTGTCAAGCCAGTTTTATCCTAGTATGCTGTTATATTTGCATATAATAAAGGTGCCTAGCATAATATCTTTGCTGTCTCCAAACCCAGGATTATAATATTTAAGTCTTTTTAGTTTATTTTCCAATTTTTTTCACATCTATGCATCTAAGTGAAAATAAATGTGATGGGATTGATGTAAATAGCAAATGCCATTACATCTAGACCATGAATTTCTAATTAAAAAAGTCAGAATGCCAAGAAGAGAAAGTTGTGTAGATCTCATTGTTTTGAGAAGACTAGTAAAGGACACAGCCAGACAGAGATGAGCTTTCAGGGGGAAGCCAGGAGAATAAATTTGCTTTAATTGCTCCCCTTTCTTCCCCAGATCTCTTCTAAGATGTCTTGATCGACTGACCCCAAAGCCAGAGGGTACCAGGTCAAAAAGCAAGGTACTAAGGGGGTTGGGGGTAAATTTGGAATACCTGATAGAAGACATCTCTTATTACTTCCCTTTCAAAATTCAGTCAATGAAAACTCACCCATGTTTATGTGCCTGTTATTGCACTAAAACTGGATATACTTCAGTAAATGAAGCTGACTCATAGTCTAGTCCATGGGTCACCTGGTGGGCAGTGTAGCATTATAAAATGAAAAAGTGAAATCAATAAGTGCTAGTACTAGAGGGCAAGAACATATGCAGAATAAATAAACAGAAATCACAAATGAAGTATTATTCTGTTTTGTTTGTATTTTCACAACAGATGGTTGAATGAAAAACTCCAATAACCACAGAAGACTGATTTAATAATGGAATACTATCAGTAAAGCTCATTTAGAATCTGTAATTAGATTTCATCCTTGATTATATGTGCAAATACCTCCTAAGAAAATAACCGTTTAATAGCTTAATTTTGGTTTAGAAGCCATTTCCAGACTTTGAATCTAATGTTCTAAATGGTTTCTAAATTTTTGTGTAGTATGATATTCTATGAAAACAATATGCATTATTAAGTTAAAACTTATTATTTCTTACATTATTTCTAAGAAAACAAACAATACTGACATTAGAGAGAAGCAAAGTTTCTATAGAAAACCTATTACACTGTGGTATAAATCAAGATGAACCTGCAGACATCTATTTTAGGTATGTATTAAAGTTAATGTAATAAGACTGGCACCCCAAATGCTACTATTAAAAGTTTTATATCAATGACAATGCTATTACTACTAATAACAATCTATAAAAATATAAAGATCCTGCTCAAAGTAGATTCTGGATTCTTATGAGAAAAGTTTTAAGTTGAAAATCTCTTCAGTGTGCATTTGTCTCAAAGATGATTCTGGAGGCAAGAAACCACTAATTAATATAATAGTCATTTATCTTATTGTTTTAAGCACCTTATCATGCCCCTCAGATTATATAGCCTCTTTGTAATGAGATTAAAAGAGAGACTTGTACAGCTTGTGTTCAACTAAAATTTTCCAATACATTTTTTCTGTTAACTTATTTGAAGTTAAATCTTTCTCTCAAATGTAATTAAGAAAAAACTCTCAAGTTTAGCCATGTTACATTGATTTGTTTTTGTTTTGCTTTGTTTTGAGTCATTTATTCTAATTTATTATATTTTTTATTCACATTAATTCTACCATCTGGTATATTAACTATTCTTTTTCTTTGTGAATGGATCATAATGTTGATGAAACAAAGTGAATACAGAATCTTGTGGTATTTAAGTAGAGACATTTCTTTCAGCTGACAGTGATTAATTAATCAACATCCGTTTTGTGTTTCTCTAACTGCACAGATTTGGAAACTTCATTAAAAAAATTATGTCCAATGCATATCCTTAAATATTTCTAAGCCCTGGCTATGTGAAAGAGACTGGGTCAGGTGATAGAAATACCAAATGAAAACCCTTGATCTCTGCCCACAAAATCTCAAAATCTAGCTGAAAAAACTGTCACATTTACAACTGACTTAGTCTGTTTAGTATTGCTATAAAGGAATGCCTGAGGCTGGGTAATTTATATTTAAAAAAGGTTTATTTGGTTCGCAGTTTGGAAGTCTGGAAAAGTTCAAGATTGGCCATCTGCAGCTGGTGAGAGCCTCAGGCTGCTTCCCCTCATGGTGGAAGGTGAAGGGGAGCTGGTGTGTGCAGAGATTACATGGTGAGAGAGTAAATAGGAGAGAGAGGATAGAGATGCCAGACTCTTTTTAACAACCACTTCTCAAGGGAACTAATCACAATCCCCCAACCCCAGGGAGGGAATTAATCCATTTATGAGGAATCTGTCCCCAAAATCAAAACACTTCCCATTAGGCCTCACTTCCAACATTGGGGATCAAATTTCAAGCCACATATTTAAGAAAGGTAATTATAGAATCAGTTAGAAAAGGGGAATGTATGGGCCAGGCGCGGTGGGTCATGCTTGTAATTGGAGCAATTTGGGAGGCCGAGGTGGGCGGATCACTTGATGCCAGGAGTTCGAGACCAGCCTGGCCAACATGGTGAAACCCCATCTCTACTAAAAATACAAAAATTAGCTGGGTGGCAGGCACCTGTAATCCCAGCTACTTAGGATGCTGAGGCAGGAGAATCGCTTGAACTTTGGAGTCAGAGGTTGCAGTGAGCCGAGGTAGTGTCACTGCACTCCAACCTGGGTGACAGAGTGAGATCCTGTCGAAAGAAAGAAGGAAGGAAGGAAGGAAGGAAGGAAGGAAGGAAGGAAGGAAGGAAGGAAGGAAGGAAAGAAGGAAGGAAGGAAAGAAGGAAAGAAGGAAGGAAGGAAGAAAAGAAAGAGAGGGAGGGAGGGAGGGGAGAATTGAAGGAAACTGGAAAAATTGAGTTTTTGACTTCTGTATTGAGGTGCTGAGGATCTGAACTAGGACAAGTTTTTACTCACCCTGATCAGTTCCACCTCCACACCCATGACTCCACTTAGTAACTGAGTCACATGAACTCCTCAAAAACATTCTATTTATCTCTTATCTCAGGGAATCCCTTCCAATTGCTACCCACTAAAGCCACTTGCTCTGTGCTATTTTTGCAGACTGCCACTTTTGATGCCATGCTTATTCATGGCAACTGGCACTGTTTCTTGGTATTGTAGACTTTATTCCCCTAAAACACAAATTTGATTTCCTAAAGCCATAGCTCATTCTTTCCCACATTTGTACCAGTTTTATAGCCTATGAATCCCAATGTGAGTCTGAGCACAGAACCCTGGATTTGGCCAGGACACTTGAAATGGAGTGGAAGAGATGTTTCAACAAGAAAATTGATCCTTTCCCTCAAAGGTCTCATTGAGTGTCAGAGTAGATTTTGAAGCATCTCTCTTTGCCCCACCTCTTGTAAGTTTCAAAGTCCTATGGGTTTACTTCTACCACACACATTTAAGGCTCTAGAACAATTTACCATAATACCAGGGCTTAATTAGACATTGTGTGGCCCTAGGCTATGCCTACTTTAAATATCTCCGGTCAATTTTCCATGAAATGTTTCTTTGTGGCAAGTTTGCAATCTCTCTGTAATGAGAATATTTATAATATATTAACTCTTTTACCTGTACACATTCATACATGTGACACCAGGTCTGCAAACGTATTTATTGTGAATAAAAGCCCCATCCTGGCTAGCAGCCACCACAGAGAGAACACAACAGATGAATTCATTTTGATATTTTAAATCATATGCATTATTATAAATTATTTGTTTAATTAACACCTTCTGCCTTAACAAGGGGTGTTAGCATATGGAAGCATCTGTTGAGCCTGCCTCCTGATGTGAAATGCAAGATTTCTGAAATTTTAACATTTGCACAGATATATGAAGACACATTCAATGTCTATAATCAGCATAGCTCCTCAGTTAATGAAATGATTTTGTGGATACAGTATGAAAAGATTTACAATTCATGATGAGATAAACCATTGTTCTCTGTATATTTGTAAGTATTGTCTTTAGCTCCAGTTTATGACAACCAATTATCCTGGTCACCACAACAATGGAATTTGTTAGATAGTTAGATTAACTATCTAAAGTCAGCATTAATTTGAGAAAGCTTTATGAAAGAAGTGACTTTTTAAAACCGGGTAAGAAAATCCAGTGGAAAAATAGAAGAGCAGCTCTCTACACATGAGTTGGGATTCAAAATTTGATTTATTTGGCTCAGGATTTGTGATGCCCCATCTATGGTACTTGTAGGAGAAAAAAAAATCACAATATAGAAAATATGTAAGTACAAGGTTATACTTGAGGGATATTAGGACGTAATTAACTTACTATTTATGATTAGGAATTTCAGTTTAGTTTGAAAGATAAGTTAGAGTCAGTGTAGAAGCCAAAATGAATAAATTGGTTGCAACATGTAAATCAGTGGGAGAAGTTGACTATAGTCCAATAGCTCCAGCTACAGTTCAATCACAGAGTGTTTACAAGTGAAACGAGATCTATGATTGCAGGAGTAAAAAATAAATGCCTAGACACAAAAAAAATCTGAAGAAGAAAAGGTTAAAATAAATGAGTCATTATTTTAACCTTTTGAAACTGAGTACTTTAACATCATTAATAATGGAACAATTTTAGAGAAGCAAAGAGGTCTTGCAACTGAAAGTGGGGAAATAATCAACATGCAAAAATATTAGATTTCAGATATTGATGTGCCAGGAGAAATACTTATAAAGTAGCAAAAAATAAAAGTTAAGTCTTCACCAGTAGAAATATTCAAAAAGTTTAGATATTATTGCCTGACCAGCAAATGGACCAGATACTGCAAATTGAGAATTCTCCTGTGTGCCTTTTCCAGTTTTATTGTTAAAATTGGCTCTTTTCAAGAGATTCTGGTGTGAGTGTGTGAGCGAGTATGTGTCTATGTGCACACGTGCATGCACACATATGCCATTCCTGCCTTCTTACCACTCTGTCTATTTTGTGATGCTGAGCATCAGCATTGAAAATCAGGCAACAGAAGGTTGAGTGCTAAATGAAAAGTGTAAAAATAGAAGTAGCAGACTCAATGATGTGGTGAGATCTATAAGACTACAGGATTAAGGGAAGAAAGCAACTGCTCTTTTCCAGCATTTGCTTAAAAAAATGTAATGGAGTAAGGCATAAACATTTCCCATATAATGAAGATAAAAAATAGCAATCAATCATTGAATATTGTTAAGCTCCAGTAACAACCCCACGTTCACCTGCCCAAACTCAAAAGTCATTGGAGGATAAGGAAAATGAAGCTTTAAGGAGAAGTGGGCTCAGACTCTGTGGGTGGGAACATGGTCATCCCATAATCATAAAACAGTCTTGAGGAGCAAGTAGAAGCAGACAAGGGTAAATGAGTAAAAGACTTAAAGGTCTCAAAGGGTTATAAAAATACACGTCTGAATGTCTGTAGATGAGAATATTATTTGAAAGAAATGCCAGTTCTTGCTACTCAGGTTTTAGCATAAATTCAATTTACTTTATATGTCACCACTAAAGGAACAAATGAGAGGAAGCAGCCTTTGGGAGAGGGATAAAGAGAAGCTCAATACCTGACAATCTTGAAACTCCGTAGTTTGTAAAAGTATATTGTAAATTCAGAAGAGCCATTGTAACCCTAATTAGAAAAGAATAGAAACCTTAACTATAGAGAAAGGAGTCCTGACCCTTTACCGAAAGCCTCAAATAAGAGCTAATTTTCCAAGTAATTATTTTTCTTGAATTTTGTACTGTTTTCTTTCTTCTAATTCCATATCAAACAAAGTAATTTGTAACAAATGAGAAAATTCATTTTAGTCTGTTTTCTTCTGGACAGTTTTTGATAATTATTCCTTCTTTATTGAGCTCTCTGTTGTCTTATTCTAAGCCTATCTTTGGCTTCTTATTTGATTTTTTAAAAACACTGATTTTCTTCCTTTAACACTGATTTTTATTTTCACGTTTTTATTTGATGAGTAATAATCCTGTGAAATAATTTCCAAAGTGAACACTGGGCATTCCCTGGGTGACTCAATCTCCAAATGGCTACTGGGAACTGGAGGACCTTTTCTGTATCTACCCACCCATTACTTTCCAGGCTTAGGCCCTTTCCCTTCTAGGAAACTCTCCAAGATCACTTGTGGGGTCCCACTTCAAACCTCAGCTCCTCCTTAACTCCTCTGCCCTTCTCTTATTTTTAGAGGATCCTTCCCCTCTTTTCTGGTTTCCTTCAGAGGCACCCTCACATTCATTTCTTCTCAAATGCAACTGTCCTCTAGTTCTTTTGTGATAGTCTTGAAGGCTCATATAACCCAGATCTGAATCATATTGAAAATGACTTTGCCTTTCTTTGAGACTTTAAAGTTTAACTTCAGGGAGAGAGAAAAAGCATTCTCAATTCATTCTTGTATGATAAATGAAAGAAAGAAAATAAAACAGCAGCTTTTAATGTTAAAACAATACAAACATTTAAATCCTGCCACACATTCAATAATAAAAAGTATTGAGTGAGTTATTAATTTATGTGGATGAAGCCTTCTCTCTTACCACTTTCCACCACAGAGGGTGGAAAACCTTCTTGAGATCTTGGGCTGGGCCTGTGGCACAGTTCTGTCCCCACTGGGGAAGAAAGTCATTTGGTGGTGATATGGATTAGGGGTTTCTGGAATGTCTTTTTCTTTCCTTATAAAATGATCAAATGATGCTGAGCATAGATGTGATACCTGGAGTTGCAGCACCATCTCTGCGATCATGTAGCAATAAACATGGAGATGAAAAGTCATGCACTGGGCATGATGAAGCAAAAGTATGCAACGATCCTACGTACGGATGATTTCTGAGCAGGAGAACTGCCACTCCTAATGGCTTACCTTCTTGTACTTTTTACTGTGTAAGATAAATTTGTCTGATTCATTGTTTTTCTGTTTTCTATTACTTGCAATTAAAACTCTTCCTAACACACTGTATTCAAAGTATTTTAACTGCCAAAGCTTTAGACCCATGAGTACATGCTCTGCAGTCATGACTGCAGCAAAGCCAAGTATGTTCCTTAGAGAGAGCTCCTTCCCAATCTGTGCTTCTGAATCTCAGCATATTTTGGAGAGAAAAGTTTGTTTAACTTCAGCTGCATCTCTAGATTCGGATACAAATCTATAAGGTCAGGAAGAGGAAAGGTATTGAACATTGACAGGGTAATATATTTTCCCCTAACCCACAGAAATTACTTGAATAAAACTATCTTCTGTCTGTAGCTAAAATCAGCCATGCAAATTGGCTCCTTTTTTCTCAATCATTAGTTCAGGAGACATGCTCAAACATATCTGAATTCCTACTTTGTCCAAGTTGGGATGTCTAGTATATTCATTATATCCTTACAGATTATTTAATTAAACATATTTGGGATGGCAGTACGTTGCTCAAGAACTTACTACTAGTGATGTAGACAAGCCCACCTCTTTGATTAGCAAGAGTTGAAACAGTCATAGATCTCTGTCTGTATTTTGGATAATTAAGTTCCTTTCTCAGAGTTTGTTTTTGCCTCTAGATATCAATGCTAGCTTTTAAGTGAACATCATAGTACTTGTCATTTCTTTTTCTTCCACCATTAACTGTTTTATACTCTTAAATATTCAGACTGTTGGCAGAAACTTCTCTTACAGATGATCATAGCTCTCGTTCTGACTTATTTCCTTTTACACTTTGATCCACCTCATAAAGCCTCCCAGTTTTTCTCTTCATTCAGGGTTTATTTCAACTTTGAAGTTGTCCTCATCTTGATATTCCTTTCTAGTGTTGTAAGACCAAGAAAATGTGTCAAACATAACATATATTACAAATACTAGAGTTTAAACTCAAGTACTTATTTTTAGAAATAGTATGGCTAAAACTGTTAATAATGTGTAAGTTTTCATATATTTTTAGAATATTTATATACCCAGTTTATATAAATCTGAGTTTTGTGTCCCTAAAATTGTACCTCATATAGGTTTGACAAAGGGAAAATTTGTGTATCACCAGGGCATAATTGAATTTCTGCCTTTACAGTTACTTTACATAAAACTGAAAACTTTGAATTTCATATGTAAAATAATGAAATTATCCAATAATTTTGAAACAATTTGAACTATTTTCTGTTGTATATTTTTTAAAAATGTCATATTTCCCATAACCGGAGAGTGCATTGTAACATGTGCAATCATTAGAAGGCTTGAGCTGCTCTCTAGAAGAGTAGAAAGAACATTGGTAGGGTCAAGTTTCACTCCTCTGTATATGGTTTTCCAGCATTCTCAGAACCATTCATTGAATGGGATGTCCTTTCTCTATTATTTCTGTCGACATTGTAAGACATTAGTTGGTTGTAGGTGTGTAGCTTTATTTCTGCATTTTCTATTTGGTTCCATTGACATTGACCTATGTCTATTTTTTTGTGCCAGTACCATGCTATTTTGGTTAATGTAGCTTTGTAGTATAATTTGAAGTCAGGTAATGTGATGCCTCTGGTTTTGTTCTTTTTGCTTAAAATTGCTTTGGCTATTCAGGCTTTTTTTTATTTCCTACCTTTTACCGTATGCAAAAATTAACTCAAAATGGGTTAAAGACTTAAATGTAAGACCTTAAACTATACAAATCCTACAAGAAACCCTAGGAAATACTCTCTGGAAATTGATCTAGGTAAATAATTTATGACAAAAACAAAAATTGACAACTTTGACCTAAACTAAAGATTCTGCAGAGCAAAACAAACTATCAACAGAGTAAACAGACAATCTAAAGAATGGCAGAAAATATCTGCAAACTATGCATCTGTCAAAGGACTAATATCCAGAATCTATGAAGAACCAAAACAAATCAACAAGAAAAAAAAACATTAAAAAATAGGCAAAGACTTGTACCCCATAAATGTACACATATAACATAATTGAATTTGCTTAAAAAAAAAAGAGTACTGGCCTACCATATGGGAAAAAATAAAGCTGGATTACTAGACACCTACGGCAAAATAAATTCTAGCTGAAACAAACATATAAAGATATAAAATAAAATAATACATATTATAAAAATAGTAGGCAAAGGACATGAATGGACACTTCTCAAAAGAAGTTGGACAAATGGCCACAAACATGAAAAAATGCTCATCATCACTAACTGTCAGAGAAATGCAAATCAAAACCACAATGAAATATCATCTCACAGCAGTCAGAATGGATATTTTTGAAAAATAAAAAAATAACAGATGTTGGTGAGGCTGTGGAGAAAAGGGCATGCTTATACATTGTTTGTAGGATTAGTTCAGTCTGTATAGAAAGCAGTTCAGTCTCTATAGAAAGCAGTTTAGAGATTTCTCAAAGAACTAAAAATAGAATTACCATTTAACCCAGCAATCCCATTACTGAGTATATACTCAGAGAAAAATAAATCATTCTACCAAAAGGACACATGCAATTGCATGTTGCACCACCATTCACAATTACAAAGACGTAGAATCAACCTAGGTGTCTATAAACTGGGATTGGATAAAGAAAATATGGTATATATACACCATGAAATACTGTGCAGCCAGAAAAAAGACTGAAATTATGTGCTTTGCAGCAACATGGATGCATCTGGAGGCTATTATCCTAAGAGAATTAACACAGAAACAGAAAGCCATATATCACATGTTCTAGTTTATAAATAGGAGCCAAACACTGGTGACACATGAAAATAAATGTGGAAACAGTAGACACCAGTAGGAGAGGGAAGAGGTGAAAAACTACCTATCGGGTACTATGTTCACTATTTGGGTGACAGGTTCAACTGAAGCCCAAATGTCAGCATCACCCAATATATCCATGTAACAGACCTTCACATATATCCCTGAACTGAAAATTTTTTAAAAAAATTAAAAATAAAAAGAAAGAGCATTGGCTTTAAAAGCTGACAAACCTGGACTGAAACATCTGACTCTGCCAAATTTTGCCTCTGTCCCATTGGGTGTATCATATTACCTTTCTGTTTCCAAAGCTTAATGGCCTTAATTGTAAGCAGTTATAATAACAGCTATTTAATGTTTTACAATACTAGTTTTATACAACTGTCATTTTTTAAATTCCTCAAATCAACCTTTCTCCATCTCAGAATAATTTAAAATTTTTGGACTAAGGCTATTGTTTCACAGCTGCAATTATTACAAGTCTCCTCGCCACCCCCTGTGACCTGTAGCTTTGGTTATTTGAGATATAAAAAAAATATACTGACCATTCTGTTGTAAACTTGTTAGCTTGTTAACTAGCAGCCTAAGATAGATATTTGATATCTCCTATCATTCTGATACAGGTTATTCCTGCTTGATCTGTGTTTTCCAGATGTAAAAATAAAATCGATAGCCATGATTTCTCTCTTAGTTTCAAATGATCATTCTCACAGGCATTTGGTAGAATCTCTCACAATTAGCATCACTTGTTTACCTTAGTTATATGTGTAAAAATAGTTGAGTATGTGTTAAATTTCTCTGGTGTCATAACATGTGCTAGATTTCTCTGGTGTCATAACATGACTTGTATTTAAGGTTTTGTGGGCCCTTTGGCACATGTACTCCCTGGACAGGAAAAGGAAACTGGGACAAGGAAAGATGATGCAGCAGAGGGCTTGGGTGCCTGCCTCACATTCCCTTGCACAGATCTGATTTTAGCTGTAGTTTTAGTAGACAGTTTCTTTAAGCTCCAATTCACCTTATGCTGACCCATACAGAGCTGGCAATACATATTTCCATTTTCTGCTTAGAGGTTCTCTGATACCACAAGAACATATGTAGTCTACCCCACCATCTTTTAGAGGAACAATTCTAGATTATTTTATTTTTCATGCTCTGAGAAGATTTCAAAAGTTCAAGCCAATCTGCCTCATAGTTGTGACCTCAATACAATTTTTTGTTAGCTTTTTTATTCTTCTGTGTCTCAGTCTACCCCTCCTTTTCTCCTGTTTCTTGAGATCATCTATCAAATAAACTACCTGCACTCAAGTTCTTATCTGAGACTCTGCTTTCAGGGAAATCCAGCCAAGAAAGTATGTGTTCTATGAGTGGCTGCCCTTGTAGTTATTCAAGTGGTCCCACCAACAATGCTCGAAAGGCACAGTAAACCAAGGTATGGTGAAGACAAATGTGGGTATGAGGACATTCAGTATTGCTGAGAGGTTACGGCAGAAAGGAAAAAGGGTGACACAATTTTTTTCTGGATAGTCAGCTCCATTCACAGTGGGATCCCAGCTGACACCTGGAAAAACAGGATTCTTGATAAGGGTAAGCTGATCCAGCCAGATGGCCTGATGCCAGCATAGGGATCCTTGCATCAGAGGGATACTTTGTTGGTAGAGGGCCTGAGTCAGAAACTCAAATGTAACACTGGTTCAACAAGTCAAGATAAAGTGAGGAATGCTGCAGCTCAGAAGCTACATGGGAATCTCAAACTCGTTCACAGAATATGGCATACTAAGCCTATGTAATGAAGTGATTCCAAACATTTTAGGATAATTGCCCAAAGTTATATGATCTTTTTGTTTCTATTTTCCAAGTGAAAGGCACTGGTCACTTTACCTTCCTGTCTCAAGAAAGTAGGAGCTGATGAAAATAGAACAGAATTTCTCTACATTTTAAAATTTTCTTCTGTTTTGTTAATATAGTGGAGGTACTTGGAGGTTAGAGGGTTAAAAGAAGGAAGAGAGATTGCTCCAACCTCTTAATCCTCTTGGGGCATCTGAGTCATTTCCATGGAACCCATGGTGTTCTGGCTTGATAAGTTTTTGCAGAGACAGGACCCTTGTCTTGTCTGGCTTCTGTACTCCAAAATATCAGCATGGCAAAATGTTTAGAAACTTAACTAAGTTCCATAATGAAGAAGGTAATAATGGATAATTCACAGAAGTTATGTATACTTCCCAAATTTCTGAAGTAGTTCAGGGTAGAATAAAGAAGAAAACAGTCTTCTTTAATTTTAAAGGTTAGATACAACATACGAAAGTAACTAGATAAACAATAACAATGATGATGTTTTAACTTTTTTTCTGGAAAACAAAGTTGTCATGTGGCTCATCTAGAGTTATTATAGCAGGCTCCAAGTGAAAATTCTGCCATAGAAGCTGACTGGGGTCTTGGGAGTCATAAGTTCTGCATTCAGATCTAAACTCTATCACTTGATGAGTATTTTAGTTCTGGCAAGTCACCTGATCTCTCCCTTTCCCTTTCTGCTAAATGAATGGTTAGCGTGAAATAATCTCCATGGCTTCTTCAAGCACTCACAGTTTTATTCTAGCTCACAAACAGCCCAAATGTTCAAAAAAATTCTGGAATTAACAGTACCATGAGTAATAGGATTCTTAAGTGAACAAAATGAGTCATTTTGGGATATTTACACTAAACAGTTAATGATCATTTTATTTCTCTCAAAATGCATATTTATTTTTAGTTTAGGCATTGAGGTATAGATTTAAGTGTTGTTGGCATGAAGGTTCTGGTCATTTTTATAAAAGAATGATACTCTTGGGGGATTAGAAATTCTAAGATGCAAAAAAGCCTGGGAAATGTAAATTATATTTTAGAGAACCAACTGATTTTGCAATTGTCAAATGCATTTATATTCACATTCACAATAGATTTCATTAGAGATTCTTAGCATATTGTTACCATTTGATTAAAACCTTTATAATGTTTGAAGACATCTCTCTTACAGGAAGAAATGCAATAGAAGCAGTTATAGAAATCAAATAATATATGTGATATTTTAAAATTATAAAGTGCTATTTAAATATAAAGTCATATTAAAATTATGTATGATATAGTTACTGAAAGCATGTAAATTATTTCTAGATATTTTAAAAAGCCAGAGTGACATCATACTCTTATTTTTGTTCTTGTGATACTTTTCAGTAGTCTCAATTTAGAATTCCATGCTTCACAGCTTCTGATTTTACTAACATGTTCAACTGGGTTAAAAAATTGCAAAGCTAAATAATTTTTGTGGTGGAAGGCTTCATGGATTTTCTAGTCCACTTCTTGCTGAAGTATTAGCCCTCTATGTAGGATAATGAAATCCCTGAGCTAGCAAGAGTATAATGGGGTAGAAGTAGAGATTGCACTTGTACTGTAAGAATGATGGAATGGGAATTTGGAAGAGTTACCCTAGAAAGAAAAAGGGATAGCACTGTCAATGGCAGAGACCAAGTCAGCTAAAGAAAAGGCCCTCTTCAGCAGTGTTATGACTGAGAGTGGTTGAGTCAATGTGATAACCTGCAATCCATAGATTTATTAGCTTGCACCGTAAGGCATGTAGGCTGCCTATAGCAACATTCTATTCTCTCCAGGTCAATCTGTAAAGGAGCTCATAATGTTTCTCAGTTAATCTCTGGTACCTTTTTTTGTGAAGATCCAAGTCTTGAGAATGCCAAGAAAAATGAGCATTCTGGTATTGAGTAGGTTTGAGAGCATTCTATTGTGATGAGAGAAAATATAATAAGGGTACAACTAATTGTTGCTTATGATGAGTACGTTAATATAAATGTTCAGTAAATCAGTGAATCTACCAGTCTAATAAATATTGAGTCTTAAAAAAAATGCATACCTTATAAGGGAAAAGTAAGACAAGTAAAATATAATAAAGAATTAGAATAAAGAATACATTTTATAGATGAGGTAATTTATTTCAAAAATTGCTTTGAATCCTGCTCCCAATTACTTGTATGGGAGCAGGACCATTTTCCTCTCTCTCAATAATCAAACTACTTGTTCTTAGCTTTTCTAGGTCATCATTCTAGGCTTTGTTGAAGCATGCATTTTTGGCATGAGGGTGGCAGCCTTTGCACTATGTGCATGGCTGAGGAGTTAGGATCTGGAGGGTGATGAAAGGTAAGTTGTACTTGGTAAATTGCATTATTTTTTCTGCAATTCTGGTGGTATGATTATTTGCCCCACATCAGTCTGCTCCATATGTGAAAAGGCTAAAATTAGATTAAATTAGGCAATAGAAAAATCAGTGTTAGAATACAGATTCCCGAGAGTTACACTCAATTGCTTGGTTCACTGAGCCATGTTGCTTTTGAGGTAGTTCTGAATCTGTCCTAGTGTCTTAGAGGTATTTCAAACAGCTGTCAACCAAGCCTATAAAGGTGAGTTATGTGGACATAACCTTCCAGTCTCTAAACTTTCATTTTTTATACAGATAATTTTAACAATGTAATAAAAATCTACTAAATATATACTTAGCAGTAGCTTATAAAATAAATCTCATGACAAAGAAAGAAAACATTGGATAAGATATTCTATGTACATAACTTGAAGGTTTGTAGTCTGATTTTTCAATAGGATCACCGTCGGATTTTCTTCAGCCTATGCAGACTTTTTGTGTGTCTGCATTTGGAGTCAGTGATTATCTTTATGTTGATGTAAGAGGTTTTTATTAGCAAAGTTATTAATAGAATGCTTACTTTTCTATTACCCTAAGTCTGTGCTTGATATTCAAATCCTTTCCAAATAAACAAATTTCATAATAGAAATGACTCTCACCCCTGTTTTCAGTAACATACAACCTTGACAATTTGTAGAGGACTAAATGCTATTTAGCGGCACATTATTTTCTGTTAGTCAATGCCATTGACTTTAGAAAATATCTGAAAACAGAGATCTTAGTTCTTTGCAGCTTTTTTCCAATTTTCCCACAAAGTTCTCCTTCTTTATTTCATTAAAACCAATTAGGCATATTGCACTGGCAGAGATTAATACTGCTAAATGTCAATGATGTGTCTGCTTTGAAAAAACTATTGAGCTGAAGAGTAAATAGCAATACAATAAAAATGTCCTGACATCTTGCTTGCAGGAAAGCAGAGAGCTGTAAGATGGCAGGAAGAGTAAAGGAGATAATAATGGTTGATCACTAAATTGATTTCAGTAGCTTATGTTCCCAGAAAATCAACTGAATATACATGCAGAAAACAAAGCAAACCAAAAAGAAAAGATGGAAGGTCATGATTGGTGGGTACAATCTTTGATAAGTGGATGCTCTTGGCAGTGTTCTCAAGAATGTGTTGAAAATGAAATAGTGACCTTTCTTCTCTATGACTCAAAATGTCATTAATTAGCAACATCCTTGAAAAGCCTGGTTGTCCTCTAGGCATATGGACTGTGTTGTTCTTCGTTAAAATCTAGTTTCTATAAGAAATCCCTCACCATGAAGCAAAACATCAGACATAACAAAAATACTTTTCCTAGTTGGAAACCGAGGGCACTGACTAGATCAGGGATCAGCAAACTATGACCAGTGGACCAAATCTGGCCTACCGCCTGTTTCTTTAAGGTACTTGTGCTAAAAATAATTTTATTTTTATATGTTCTTTTAATTTTTGTATTTTTTTAAAAGAATTATATCCCAGGGCCTCTGGGGTCTTTGTCCCCACCACCAGCATCATCAGCCATTTGGTGTTTTCTTGGAGAAGAAGCTATTTTCACATTTTTAAATGGCTAAAAAAATCAAAAGTAGAATAATATTCTGTGATGTGTGAAAATTACATGAAGCTCAAAATATCCATGTCCCTAAGTAAATGTATACACTGTGTGGAAACACAGCCATGACCATTCATTTCTGCATTTTCCGCAGTGGCCTTTACACTCCAACAGCAGAGTTGTGTAATTGCTGCAGATACCACATGGATGGACCTCAAAGCCCGAAGTAGTTCCTACCTGGCCCTTTACAGATAGAGTTTGTCGACCCGAAGGATAGACAATTCTCTTAGAATAAGTCTGAAGCTTGAACTTTAATGTTGAATCAGTATTTTTTTTCTATCTTCACCAATAATCAAATATAAGGAAAGGAAGAAAAGCTGGAAAGGGGACAAAAGGAAAGAAAAGTACAAAAGTTGAGATTTATTTAAGAATTAAAAATTACTCTGTATGTTAGTATTAGTCAGGGTTTTTCAGAGAAACAAAGTTATCTATCTATCTATCTATCTATCTATCTATCTATCTATCTATCTATGTCTATCATCTGTCTATCTATCTGTCTATCTATCTATTACGAGGTTTATTTCAAGGAATTGTGATTTTGGGGAGCTGGTGATATGACATTTGCAGGACAGGCACCTAGAAATTCCAGTAAGAGTTGATGTTCCAACCTGAAGTCTGAAGACAGACTAGAGGAGAATCGTTTCCTCTTCAGGAGACCTCAGCCTTTCTTTTGAGGCCCTCAACTGATTGGATAAGGCCCACTCACAATATGGAAGGTGATCTGTTTTATTCAAAGTCCATTAATGAAAATGTTAATCACATTTAAAAATTACTTTCACAGCAACATCCAGACTAGTGTGGGACCAAATAACTGGGCACTGTGGACTAGCAGTGGTGACATAAAAGTAACTATCACATTCTGAAATGACATAAATGATATCAGGAAGGGTATTTATCAGGAACACTGGTAAATAAAATTTCTATTCAAGCACAGGCAAATTGAATTCCTCTGCCTCATTTTCAAGTTGGGAAAATGGAGGCATAACATTTATTATGTTTGAGGAAGAAGGAATATTTGGAAATGAATTTTAACTCACAATTCTATCTTGATGGATCAATGCACAATTTCATAAACACAGGGCACAAATAAGAGCTTGAAAAAGTTTTCTCCTTCATTTTTCAGGACTACATAGACATTATTCAGGATTATCATTTTTCATGTCCTTTGTTATCCCAAACATATACAATGGTAATAGATATGAAAGTTATTTTCGTATGTTGATTTGTTGGGGCTTGCATGACATTGTACCACAGACTGGATGGCATTAATAACAAAAAATTATTTTCCCCAATTCTGAAGACCATAAGTCTAAGACCAAGGTGTCCACAGAGTAGGTTTCTTTTGAGAACTCTCTTCTTGCCTTGCAATGGCTGTCTTCTCATTGTGCTCTCACATAGTTGCTCCTCTCGAGGTTTGTGTGTTATTTGCATCCTAATTGCCTCTGTTTATAAGGACACCAATCATATTAGATTAGGGCCCACCCATATAACTTTATTTTATCTTAATTACTTTTACAAAAGCCTTATTTCCAAATGCAGTCATATTCTGAGGTACTGGGGGTCAGAACTTCAACATATAAGTTGGAAGATAGAGATGCAATTTAGCCCATAATACCTGGAAAATATCCAATGAATGAATATTTTCTGTCCACTAATGGAAAATCAGTAGCTTTGATCTATTTTTCAAGCTTAAACATTTTCTACTAATAAAACACCATATTAAAATATTACATATGTACAGAAAAACCAAAAATAATAAGTGTACAGCTCAATGCATTATCAAAAACAAACATGCTCTTGACAAGAAATAGATTATTACCTGAACTCCAGAATCTCCTATCATATCCCCTCCAAATTGCTACACTCATCTCTTCCCAAAGTTAACCACTATCTTGCCCTGTTTATTTTTGAATTTTAGATGAATGTAATATTTTATGTCTGGATTCATTGGCTCAACAGTATGTTTATAAGATTCATCCTTCTTGTATGTGTGGCAGTAGTTTATTTTTATTACGGTAGAATATTTGTTATGTGATTATATCACAATGTATTCACTTTGTTTCCAGTTATTGGTTATTATGAATCACATTGCTAAGAATATTTATCTAAATCTCTTAAAACACTTTATGTTGTGAGTCACTATGTCAAAATTACTTTTTGTTAAAGAAAGGAATAAGAAGTACCTTTTCTCACAAAGTTTATATTTGAAAATACTGTTATTATGTTGGTGCAAAACCAATTGCTGTCTTTGCTATTAAAAGTAACGGCAAAAACCGCAATTACTTTTGTACCAACCTGTTCACAAGTTTTTTTTGTTTTTTACTTGCTTGTTTTGATACATGTATGTCAGGCATTGTGCTAAGAGCAATTGTAGATACATTGATGAGCACCTTCTAAACTTCTTTGAAGGATTTTGAAGTACAGTGGAGTGGGGCAGTGGTTTGCAAAGTATGGTCTATAGACAAGAAACTCCCTGTCAGCATAAATTGGGAATTTATTATGAAAAGAAATTCTCATATTATTAAATCATGAACTCCAGGAATGGAACCTGGAAATCTGTGATTTAGCAAGTGCTCCAGGTGATTCTGATACATACTGAAGTTTCAGAACCATTCTGACGAAAGAAAGTGAGAAGACAGAAAATGAAAACACAATGCACACTTTCTTTTATAGAAGCCAAGGGAGTCAGTGGTAGGGCCACTTAAATCAGCGTCAGTTTTTAATAAAGACAGAAGCCTTTTTTAGATGACCTTAACATTTTTTATCATTAGTAGGAACAACATTTACCTGCTGGCTTTTAATTTCCTTCAAGCTTGTCTCAAAATCTGTCACCATCTGTTAGATAAAGGTCACCTATATTGCAGCATTACGTTATCCAGCTAGGCAGTAAGGGAGCAGCCCAAATTCAACACTTTTATAGTGGTATTCCTGTTAACACTGAGACTTGTCAAACTCCAAACCCTCTTAGCTGGATCTATTATATATGCCAGGTCTTGTCTTACCTATTTAGAAGTGAAAAAAATAGTCAGACTCCTTCTCAACAAAACATTATAGCATGATGAGAAATAGTACAGGCTCTGAGGAAGAGATTCACGTTCTGTTTGCTTCTTAACTATGTGGCTTTAAACAGATTCCTTAACCCCACTCTATCTTAGTTGTTTCCTCTGTAAAATGGGGATGATAACAATATCTAACTTGTAGGGTTGGAATAAGGATCCAAGGAAGTAATACTCAGAAAACGCTTAGACCTATGATTAGTATATTAAAATGACTCAATAAATGCTGAATTTTTCTTAGTGGAATTCGCAGTCCTATTTCTTTTTTATTAATATTATTACATTAAAGCAACTTTCCAGCGTAACAATTTAC